>NC_000003.12:167796483-167947998 GCF_000001405.40 Homo sapiens
GCTATTTATCCTGATACTCTCCCTCCCCGCAACCCCCTGACAGGCCCCAATGTGTGTTGTTCCCCTCCCTGTGTCCATGTGTTCTAATTGTTCAGCTCCCACTTATAAGTGAGAACATGCACTGTTTGGTTTTCTGTTCCTGTGTCAGTTTGCTGAAGATAATAGCTCCCAGCTCCATCCATGTCCCTGCAAAGGGCATGATCTCATTCCTTTTTATGGCTGCATAGTATTCCATGGTGTATATGTACAACATTTTTTTTTTATCTGGTCTGTCCTTGATGGGCATGGCATTTTGGGTTGATTCCATGTCTTTGCTATTGTGAATAGTGCTGCAATGAACATATGTGTGCATGTATCTTTATAATAGAATGATTTGTAATCCTTTGGGTATATACCCGGTAATGGGATTGCTGGGTCAAATGGTATTTCTGGTTCTAGATCTTTGAGGAGTCACTGTCTTCCACAATGGTTGAACTAATTTACATTTCCACCAACAGTGTAAAAAAGTTCCTTTTTCTCCACAGCCTTGCCAGCATGTGTTGTTTCTTGACTTTTTAATAATTGCCATTCTGACTGGCATGAGATGGTATCTCACTGTGGTTTTGATTTGAATTTCTCTAATGTTCAGTGATGTTGAGCTGTTTTTCATGTTTGTTGGCTGCATACATGTCTTCTTTTGAGTCATGTTGTTCATGCCATTTGCCTACTTTTTAATGTGATTGTTTACTCCTTGTAAATTTTCTTATAGATTCTGGATATTAGACCTTTGTCAGATGGATAGATTGGAAGAATTTCCTCCCTTTCTGTAGGTTTTCTGTTCACTCTGATGATAGTTTCATTGCTGCGCAGAAGCTCTTTAATTTAATTAAATCCCATTTGTTAAGTTTTGCTTTTGTTGCAATCGCTTTTGATGTTTTTCTCATGTAATCTTTGCCTGTGTCTGTGTCCTGAATGGTATTGCCTAGGTTTTCTTCTAGGGTTTTTATAGTTTTTGGTTTTACATTTAAGTCTTTAATCCATCTTGAGTTAACTTTTGTATAAGGTGTAAGGAAGGGATCCAGTTTCAATTTTCTGCATATGGCTATATATAGCCACATATTTTCTTGTCTATATACAAAAGTCAAGGCAATCATAACCCAAATCCTTTTGGCTAAGATATTTAGCATGCATAACTTTCTGTGACAATACATATATGTAGAAATATTCCATTATAAGTCTATTCTTAAGGAGAGGTAGTTAATGAATACCTACCAAGCGTTTTTTTTTTATGTATGATAATTGACATTTATATACTAAATATATAAACAATGTACCTTAATTCCAAAGAACAATTTACTTTTGAACATGAATGATTAAATTTAAATTACTATGTAAATCAGGCCTAAAGTTATAAAACATTTAGTCTATGTTGGCCCTCATCTAATGACCTTTCACAATTAATTTTGTATTTTTTCTTGCATTTTATGAAGAATTCTTTTTGATAAAATGAGAAATTCAGTACAGTGTTAATGCTTCTCTTATTAAATCCATGAATTAAGTGCAGTGCTTCCAAATGCTCCAATTCTATGAGGATGCAAATTTATTTAGGAGTATATTAACAGAATTCTAAATGAATGCTTACTAAATATTATACATTCTAATTCAACCATATTCACTAGAAAATGTGGCCTCTAGGTCCTGTCCACTGAGAAACTGAATGTGGCAGCAGAAGAAAATTAAATTTTCATTTCCTAAGAGATACTCTTCAATTATGAAATAGTTTGGCTGTCTTGCTCATATTCATGCCTGTACTAAATTAGGCACAGGTAATTATCATGTATCAATTTTTCCAGAAGTTCCATAAATTCTCCCTGTACATGGCTAATGCATAGATAGGGAGGCTAAATAGCAAAATAAATAACTCTGGATTCCCCTTTTAACAGAATGGCTCTTTTCAAATACTTATATGTTACAATAATCAGTGTGAAACTCTCCACCTTCTCCATTTTACAGCATTAGGATCCACTAAATGTTTGATAATGGTAATGATTTATGTGACCCATTTTTAGCAAAGGTAAAAATGTTTTTCATAGCTATACTCTGTGTTTACTCAAGTGTCAATTTTAATGGTTTGCATAGTTTTATCCACAGAGAGATATTACTCTGAAAATGCAACTTGCATTTCTGTATTTTGACCACATTCTTGTCCTGCTTGACAGGTACTTTTACTTCCTATTTTGCTAGAATTTATACAAACAGCTTTCAAACACTGTCCTTGAAAACCAAATACTGCATTTTCTCACTTATAAGTGGGAGCTAAATTTTGGGTACTCATGGACATAAAGATGGCAATGACAGACACTGAGGATGACTAGAGGAGGGAAGACGGAAAGGGGGCAAGGGTGGAAAAACTATTGGGTGCTGTGCTCACTATCTGGGTGACAGGATCATTTGTATCCTAAACCTCAGCAATATGCAATATACCCATGTAACAAACCTACATACGTATCCCTTGAATCTAAAATAAAAGGTTTTTTTAGCTTTTTATTTTTTCATATTAAAATGCCTTTATATATATTTTTTGAGCTTTCTCTTTATACTTCAAGTTCTGGGATACATGTGCAGAACATGCAGGTTTGTTACATAGGTATACACGTGCCATGGTGGTTTGCTGCACCCATCAACCCATCACCTACATTAGGTATTTCTCCTAATGCTGTCCCTCCCCAAGGCCCCAACCCTCCAACAGGCCCCGGTGTGTGATGTTCCCTTCCTTGTGTCCATGCATTCTTATTGTTCAACTCCCACTTGTGAGTGACAACATGCGGTGTTTGGTTTTCTGTTCCTGTGTTAGTTTGCTGAGGATGATGCTTTCCAGCTTCATCCATGTCCCTGCAAAGGACATGAACTCATTCTTTTTTATGGCTGCATAATATTCCATGGTATATATGTGCCACATTTTCTTTATCCAGTCTATCACTGATGGACATTTGGGTTGGTTCCAAGTCTTTGCTATTGTGAATAGTGCTGCAATAAACATACGTGTGTGTGTGTCTTTATAGTAGAATGATTTATAATCCTTTGGGTATATACCCAGTAATGGGATTGCTGGGTCAAATGCTATTTCTGGTTCTAGATCCTTGAGGAATTGCCACACTGTCTTCCACAATGGTTGAACTAATTTACACTCCCACCAACAGTGTAAAAGCATTACTATTTCTCCACATCCTCTCCAGCACCTGTTGTTTTCTGACTTTTTAATGATCGCCATTCTAACTGGCATGAGATGGTGGTATCTTATTGTGCTTTTGATTTGCATTTCTCTAATGACCAGTGCTGATGAGCTTTTTTTCATATGTTTGTTGGCCACATAAATGTCTTCTTTTGAGAAGTGTCTGTTCATATCCTTTGCCCACTTTTTGATGGGTATTTTTTCTTGTAAATTTAAGTTTCTTGTAGATTATTATCAAAATAATAAAAATATATAAAATGCTGTCTTTAAGAGGTAAAGGGGAGGGTATATGCAGGGGAGGGTCGTGTAGAAGAAATTGCTTTTGTATTTTAGCAGTTTTTTTCCTCTTAACAGTAAGTTCTACAGAAATTATATGCTGAATTGAAATTGTATTTTTATCCAAAATATAAGAATCTATTCAAGAAAAGGTAAGATTGCTGTACCTATTACCAAATCCAATGAAATACCGCAAGATTTATATACATAGTTGTACATCTCTAAGATTTAAATAAGATTGCCAGATCCTTCCATTTATCCATGGTAGCAAAAATAGTTTGTTTCATATATAAAATATTTATGTAAAACACCCAAAAAGCACTTAAGTATAAAATCTGCTACAGCGTAAGCATTATGTGATTATTACCTATTGTTAATATTATTGTAGTTTGTTTAGTGTACATTTTAAGTCCTGGTATTTACACTGTGTTAATCTTATAGGTAGCTTTATATATACTTCTCTCTAAATTGAGTTTTTTAAACTTGATTCTTTTGAATTTTCTCCTCTTCAGTGTATATGCTTCCTTTTCAGTCTTTACTGATATAGCTTAGATATAAAAAGATTTTTCTAAAGTCAGCATCAAATACTTTAATACTTGGAAGCAGATGTACCTTGCTGTATGTAGTATCAGTCTACTCTGGCTTTGTAGTCTCAGATTTGTCATTTGTGATCAGAGTGTTGGACATCAAAGGATGTGAAGTGGTTCTCTATTTTGTAACCAGAAACTATCCTGATATTTTGAAATAATTGCCTATTAATAAAGCATTTTAGTTTCATGTTTGTAAAGAAAACTACATAAGTCGTCTGCTTTTTTGTTGTTGCTGTTTTGTTTTGTTTTGTTTTGTTTTTCTTTTAGACAGAATCTCACTCTGTCACCCAGGCTGGAATGCAATGGCATGGTCTTGGCTCTGCAAGAGCACTGCAACCTCCACCTCCCAGGTTCAAAAGCCATTCTCCTGCCTCAGCCTCCTAAGTAGCTGGGATTACAGGCATGCGCCACCATGTCCAGCTAATTTTTGTGTTTTTAGTAGAGATGGGTTTTTGCCATATTGGCCAGGCTGGTCTCGAACTCCTGACCTCAGGTGATCCACCTGCCTCGGCCTCCCAAAGTGCTGGGATTACAGGCATGGGCCACTGCACCCGGCCCTGATTTTGTTTTTTAACATGAGTGCTTTTCATTAGATTTTTCTACAAAGGGTATGATTGGGTTTTTAATCCTTATATGTGTTATAGTCTCCTACCTAGGATATATTTGTTATTTTCTAACACTTGTTCTGCAGGTCTTCAAACCTCTACCCTCCATATGGCTCTTCAACTTATTCAGGTAGAAAGTTGCAAATGCAGAAATTACATTGTATGCCTTTATTAAAATAGGCATGCCCTTTGGCTTTATAAAAGCAGTGTCATGGCTTTTAATGTTTATAATTTATGAAATGTAAAATCTACTTCTAATTTTTTTTTTAATTTTTAAAAGTTGTTGTTGGAATTATAGTGATTAGTGATGCGGGGGCTTTACTGTCAGAAAGACCTCCATTCATATCCTCATTCTACCACCTATTATCTGTGTGATTAGAGAAAGTTGCTTGTTGCTTAGCTCTTTTAAGCTTCAGTTTAGCCTTCTGCAGCCAGGAGATAATGACACTTATCTCATAGGGTTGTTCGAGAGCATCATGGAAATCATTAAATAATATATTATTCATAAAAGGATTTGCATAGTGCCTGAAACATAGTAAGCACTCAATATATGGGAGATAACGATTATTTATATTAATATTATCTTTTATTAAGAGGAAAGAAATAATAAATAATCAGTATTTTTCAATAGTTTGCTTTTTAAAAAAGTCAAGGAATGGACAACTAGAGATTATTTACTCCCTATCTTCAACTTTGAACAAGGTCTTACAAACACCTAGATTTTATTTCATTTGCAACCTATGTGGTTTGCTTATGCTAGATATTGCAAATATTGGAACAGAACAGAGCCCTCAGAAATAATGCCGCATATCTACAACTATCTGATCTTTGACAAACCTGAGAAAAACAAGCAATGGGGAAAGGATTCCCTATTTAATAAATGGTGCTGGGGAAACTGGCTAGCCATATGTAGAAAGCTGAAACTGGATCCCTTCCTTACACCTTATACAAAAATCAATTCAAGATGGATTAAAGACTTAAACGTTAGACCTAAAACCATAAAAACCCTAGAAGAAAACCTAGGCATTACCATTCGGGACATAGGCATGGGCAAGGACTTCATGTCTAAAACACCAAAAGCAATGGCAACAAAAGCCAAAATTGACAAATGGGATCTAATTAAACTAAAGAGCTTCTGCACAGCAAAACAAACTACCATCAGAGTGAACAGGCAACCTACAAAATGGGAGAAAATTTTTGCAACCTACTCATCTGACAAAGGGCTAATATCCAGAATCTACAATGAACTCAAACAAATTTACAAGAAAAAAACAAACAACCCCATCAAAAAGTGGCCGAAGGACATGAACAGACACTTCTCAAAAGAAGACATTTATGCAGCCAAAAAACACATGAAAAAATGCTCACCATCACTGGCCATCAGAGAAATGCAAATCAAAACCACAATGAGATGCCATCTCACACCAGTTAGAATGGCAATCATTAAAAAGTCAGGAAACAACAGGTGCTGGAGAGGATGTGGAGAAATAGGAACACTTTTACACTGTTGGTGGGACTGTAAACTAGTTCAACCATTGTGGAAGTCAGTGTGGCGATTCCTCAGGGATCTAGAACTAGAAATACCATTTGACCCAGCCATCCCATTACTGGGTATATACCCAAAGGACTATAAATCATGCTGCTATAAAGACACATGCACACGTATGTTTATTGAGGCATTATTCACAATAGCAAAGACTTGGAACCAACCCAAATGTCCAACAATGATAGACTGGATTACGAAAATGTGGCACATATACACCACGGAATACTATGCAGCCATAAAAAATGATGAGTTCATGTCCTTTGTAGGGACATGGATGAAATTGGAAATCATCATTCTCAGTAAACTATCGCAAGATGAAAAAACCAAACACCGCATATTCTCACTCATAGGTGGGAATTGAACAATGAGAACACATGGACACAGGAAGGGGAACATCACACTCTGGGGACTGTTGTGGGGTTGGGGGAGGGGGAGGGATAGCATTGGGATATATACCTAATGCTAGATGACGAGTTAGTGGGTGCAGCGCACCAGCATGGCACATGTATACATATGTAACTAACCTGCACATTGTGCACATGTACCCCAAAACTTAAAGTATAATAATAATAAAAATAAATAAATAAATAAATAAATAAATAAGACAATAGATTTGGCTGATTTACAGTTAAGGTGGCAGGGATTAATATAGCTATTTAATCAAATTACACCAATTACTACTGGAATGCAAACATACGACACCCTAACATCTATAATAATGTGACATGTTATACATAACTACAATATAATAAATGATATTAATGGTATCTACTCCTCGTTGCATGCCTCCTGCATGCTAGCACCATCCTATGATCTAACCTTATTTAATCTTTCCAACAATGCTATGAAATAGGTATTATTATTGCCATTTTCCTGTGCCAAAACTGAGCCTCAGAAATTAAGAAACTTGCCGAAGTTCGCCTGGATCGGTCACTCATCATCACCTGACTAGCTAGTGTTTCATCACTAAAGTGTGAAACAAACTAAGCTGCTTTTAAGAAGCAAAAAGAATCCCCTACTAATATCTTCCTTCTCTTTCTTATTTTAAATGGATCAGGACAACTGTAATACCACCTGGATCCATAGCCCTGCTATGCTACTTATTAACTGTATGACCTTGGTTATACAGGTTATTTCATCTTTCTGCTACTCAATGTTTTCTATTACCTGAGAATAACAAAAATACCTGCTTCAAGGGTTGTGGTGATATTTAAATTAATATCTGTTTTATGCTCTTGCAAGTTTCTGGCATATACTAAGCTCCACATAAGTGTTCAAAAATAAATAGTAGCAATAAGCAAACGCATACACACATAAACATTTTAAGCCATTGAATGTATTGTCTGAGACATTCTGTATTTTCTTACTCATTCCCTTTTTTGAGATGGATACCATAGAACAATTCTACTTCACAATCAATACCTGCTTTTGGTAGAAAACAAAATAAATAATATCAAGTCAAAGTGCAAAATTTAGATAAAATTTAGCACTCAGTTTAGTTTGTTTGATATACATGTACTCATCTGTCAATCATATTTTTCCATAACTGTGAACCTGCTAAGACTATTTTCCACTAATCATTCCTTTTGTTTACCGCCATCATTTCCTTCTCATTTTCCTTAAAACCAGACATTAGAAATGATGCTAATGAAACTTTTTGTTGACTATCACGGACTTATCTCTGTTAAGAGAACAACCTATTGCCTTAAATTTTATATTTATAATCTGTATTAATTAGGAGGCAACATCTTAGAAAAAGTGAAGCATTTTGTTCTAACTAGTTGTTTTCACTTTTAAAATAAAAGTAATAAATGCCTTTGCTTGTTTAAAAATGTATTTCTTCAGGCATGGTGTTTTATGTCTGTAGTCCTAGCTACTCAGGAGGCCAAGGCAGGAAGATTGCTTTAGACCAGAATTTCAAGATCAGCCTCAGCAATAAAGTGAGACCCACATCTACACAAACAAATTAAAAACAAAAAATAAAAGCCAGGTGCTGTGATGTGCACCTGTAGTCCTAGCTACTTGGGAGGCTGAAGCAGGAGAATTGCTTGAGCCTGGGGGTTCGAGGCTGCAGTGAGGTGTGATCATGCCACTGCACTCTAGCCTGGGTGACAGAGTGAAACCCTGTCTCACACACACAAAAATATGTTACATGATGCAGGCATGCTTGGTCCATGTCTTTCACAAGAAAGTTTGGTGATACAATTCATTAGTTTGGGGAAGAGTCCATATTAAGACCAATATGGCTTGCTGTGGAAACTATTTTTTAAGTTAATATTCTGTTTACGATCACTATATTTATTTTCATTTTGTTTTAAAATAATGTTTTATTTTTTCAAAATTGATACACATTTATATATAATAATTCATAAGGTCAATTAAAACAAAAATAAAGACCCATGATTCTTTTGTTTAAAAAAACTCTTAAGTGTACTAATTTACACTTCCACCAACAGTGTAAAAGCATTCCTATTTCTCCACAGCCTCGCTAGCATCTGTTGTTTCCTGACTTTTTAATAATCACCATTCTGACTGGCGTGAGATGGTATCTCATTGTGGTTTTTGTTTTCATTTCTCTAACGACCAGTGATGATGAGCTTTTCTTCATGTTTGTTGACTGCATAAATGTCTTCTTTTGAGAAATGTCTGTTCATATCCTTTGCCCACTTTTTGATGAGGTTGTTTTTTCTTGTAAATTTGTTTAAGTTCCTTGTAGATTCTGGGTATTAGACCTTGTCAGATGGATAGATTGCAAAAATTTCTCCCATTCTGTAGGCTGCTTGTTCACTCTGATGGTAGTTTCTTTTGCTGTGCAGAAGCTCTTTAGTTTAGTTAGATCCCATTTGTCAATTTAGGCTTTTGTTGCAATTGGTTTTGATGTTTTAGATATGAAGTCTTTGCCCATGCCTATGTCCTGAATGGTATTGTCTAGGTTTTCTTCTAGGATTTTTATGGTTTTAGGTTTTACATTTAAGTCTTTAATCCATCTTGAGTTAATTTTTGTATAAGTTGTTAAGGAAGGGGTCTAGTTTCTGTTTTCTGCGTATGGCTAGTCAGTTTTCGCAGCACCATTTATTAAATAGGGAATCCTTTCCCCATTGCTTGTTTTTGTCAGGTTTGTCAAAGATCAGATGGTTGTAGATGTGTGGTGCTATTTCTGAGGTCTCTGTTCTGTTCCATTGGTCTATATATCTGTTTTGGAGTACCATGCTGTTTTCTAAAACCAGAAATACCATTTGACCCAGCAATCCCATTACTAGGTATATACCCAAAGGATTACAAATCATTATATTATAAAGACACATTCACATGTATGTATATTGAAGCACTATTTACAATAGCAAAGACTTGGAACCAACCCAAATGTCCATCAATGATAGACTGGATAAAGAAAATGTGGCATATATATGCCATGAAATACTATGAAGCCATAAAAAAGGATGAGTTCATTTCCTTTGCAGGGACATGGATGAAGCTGGAAACGATCATCCTCAGCAAACTAACACAGGAGCAGAAAACCAAGCACCGGATGTTCTCACTCATAAGTAGGAGTCGAACAATGAGAACATGTAGACTTAGGGAGGGGAACATCACACACTGGGTCCTGTCTGAGGGGGTAGGGGGGCAAGGGGAGGGAGAGCATTAGGACAAATACCTAAATGCATGTGGAGCTTAAAACTTAGATGATGGGTTGATAGGTACAGCAAACCACCATGATACATGTATACCTATGTAACAAACCTGTATGTTTTGTACATGTATCTCAGAACTTAAAGTAAAAAAAAAATTCTTCAGTGTAAAAGCACATGGTTTTTAAGATATAATGTTTAACTCACTCTCCATTGATTAATAGTTTTTTTGTGATGATATCATGAGAACAGGTTTATGTTTTAGAGATCACTATAACCATAAAGATACATTTTTAATGTAGTGCATTTTATTTTTGCTTTCTCTGAGTTGTAGGGAGCTGAAATGCTAAATGTATTTATTGCAAAATAGAATTTGGGTCTAATTTAACCTTGTCCATGGCATTGATGTGGGTGGGAGTTGCACAGTGGCAGAGGGAAAGTAACATAAATTGACCAGGATACTAAGAAGAGAATGAAATAACCGAGGTAAATGTATGATTAGTCATCTCCAGCTTAAAAAAAAAAATAAAATATATTACTACTAGGTCAAAGGATTTTGAAAGCTACTCATTTACAAGTTTTACTCAATACTATGATACTAAGTAATCATATGGTAATGATACTTGATCTCAAAACTCATTTGTTGTACCATATATTATGGTTTTGTGTCTATATCATATATTTTCCTACTTATGTGTTTAAATTCTATTTTGTTATGTCAATCTCTTTGATGCCACCTATTTTTCCATGTTCAATCAAATGCTAATTGCAGTCAAAAGCCAGTTTTAGCATAATTTACTCTCCATAAAGCAGACTTTAAATATCCACATATCTAACACTTTGTTCTTGTTCCAGGTAACAAGATGCTCTAACTAAATATTTTTCTCCCTATGTGTTCTCCAGGTTCACAGTGGAACAGGAAATTGATTTAAAAGATGTTTTGAAGGCTCTTGGAATAACTGAAATTTTCATCAAAGATGCAAATTTGACAGGCCTCTCTGGTAAGAAATAAACACAAATTTTTAAAAATGTTATTCCATAAGAGCTTTATTAAATGATGATATTAAATCCTCTATTTACTATGGAGTTCTGGGGTAAAATATAGTTACCACTTGCCAAATAAATCTAGCATGAAATACATTTAACCTCTACAAGCAAAACTATAGATATAGTCTTAACATTAAGTTTATATTATCTAGTTCGTATCATATCTTTGACAATAGATTATATTCTCCGGAAGACCTGTCTTAAACATCTTTGGATTCCCCATCCCATCTGACATAATGCCTTGTAGAATAGGTAATCAATAAATGTGTTGATTGACTATCTCAATATGTCCCATTGTAGTAAATCATGTAAGAAAGAAAGAAGGGAGGATAAATGAGTGACTGCTGTGAGAGCTAGACCAAAGATCCTTTTTAAAAGAATAAAGAATACCCAGTGAGATGGTATAAACATGTTCTAATTCTTTAATAAAAAAATAAATAAACAGTGGGCTGGGCATAGTGGCTCATGCCTGTAATCCTAGTACTTTGGGAGGCTGAGGTGGGGGGATCACCTGAGGTCAGGAGTTTGAGACCAACCTGGTCAACAGAGTGAAACCCCATCTCTACTAAAAATACAAAAAATTAGCCACACATGGTGGTGGGTGCCTGTAATCCTAGCTACTCGGGAGGCTGAGGCAGGAGAATTGTTTGAACCCAGGAGGCAGAGGTTGAAGTGAGCCGAGATTGCACCATTGTACTCCAGCCTGGGCAACAACAGCGAAACTCTGTCTCAAAAAATAGTAATGATAATAAATAAATAAATAAATAAATAAATAGTGGTTTTAAAGAAGTAACTTCAAAGTATACCTGGCACATTGGGGTGTCTAGTAATTTATTTTAAATATCCCAAGAAAAAAATCCAATTGAATTATTTGATTCAAATACCCTATTTTTTTCAGAGTAAAAAAAAAAATCACAAAATATTAGCCATGTTAAAGCATTTATAATTTGTAAAATACTTTGGAAGTATTTTTAAGTAGCTAACCCCAAGAAATTTGCCATCACAAAAAGGCAACAATGAACTTAAGACTGAGTAAATAAGTTATATAAGGATTATTTTTATCATTTCCTTAGAAGAGAGAAAATAAAAATACAATCTGTTTTCTGATGAGATAAAGATAGATATATATTAAGATAAAAGAAACTCAACATGTAAGGCCTCTTTATATGCAAATTATTTAACCCAAATTTCCAAATAGCACTGAGATGATAGATTCCTTAGCAGTTCCTGTGTTAAAGGAGAGAATTTAGTTTTCTTAGCCTGAAGCAGCAGCCTATAGAGAATCAAGCTGACCAAACTATAGCTTCTAAACCTGGAGTGTGAGGGCCCATAGACTGAATTCAGAGAAGCTGATGCCCTCCAACCCTTGAAATTGCATATAAATATGTGCACACAATGCATCTGCACATATACATGTAGGTGTGTGTGAGAGAGAAACAGTTTGGGGGGCTCGTATTAATAGCTTTCGAGAAATTCTCAGTGTGTCTGTGATGAAAAAAGCCTTTGTCCTCCCAGATTTAGGATTGAACGTGTTGTTTTCTAAACAGCACTCAGCTTCTAGCAATGAGTTGATACTAATGTATTTGGTACAACTTCTACCCCTCGTTCAGAGAGCTTACAGCCCTAAACACTAATAGAGCTTTTCTAAATGTCTACTATATAAATGTTCCTGTCCACATAAGAGAAATGAGCTTTCCCTGAGTAAATGTTTTCATGGCTTATATCCAAGCTTCTAGGGCTCTGAACTCTTCAATGGGGTTATCAAGAATGTAGGACTGGTAGAGATTCAAAATATAATGTGGTATCTGTACCTGAGTCAGAAATATATTCATGGCTGAAGCTTAGCATAATTTAACATTGTCATTCTCTCTTCTTTAGGAATTGAGAGAAATCTGTCTTACCATACTGGCCAAATTCCAATTGGATAATTACATTGTACTTTCTTAACGTGGCTCTATTTTCAGTTTGATTAGTAATTCCTCACTGTCTCACCCAAACATCTAGGAAGTTATTTCAAACAAATAGACTACCTGCTGCCTCTCAGTCCTGACGGAGTAGCACTGCAGTGGGAAATCAATTATTGTGGTCAGTGTAGCTTATAATTTCTAACATATTTGGAAGGTTTATAAGGTAATATTTAATTGCCTTTGCAGAGACAGAGACAATAGACCATAAATATGCATTATGATAACAGATGGTTTAGAGATTGGAAATAACACTAGAATCTTCCAGAGAATTAATACATTCTATATGCAAAGTATCTGTTTGTTTGATCAAAACTTCCGTGGGAATTGAATCCTTCTCTGTGTCCTACTCACAGTTGTATTCCTGGTACCTTGTAAAAAACTGACATATAGTTGACACACAGTGAATGTTCACTGAAGGGTAAAAAAGATGAGGGGAAGAAGACAAGAGGTTTATTTGGCCCCACATTACATACAGTCTAAGGACTATTTGCCCCCTTAAACATAAGTAAAAAAATCCTGGATTTGCCATTCTCAAATACCACCCCATTCAGGTTTTCAAGATCACTTGATAAAAGATCTAAAGCAAACTTCCCAGTCTTTCAGTGGGAATTCTTTGATTATTACATTATTAGTTTTGCCAGAGTCTAAGCAGCTCCAGTATGCCATCCACCCTAACCAATATATCCTTACATTCCCCATGCCATGCACACACACATTAATTTATGAATCATTCATTCAAAAATTATTGTTTTAATTATAAAACTTGCCCCTTTTTTTCCTCTAAATTAATAGCATTTATCTCTTCATCATTTATTTGAGCACCATATGCTCTGCTTTGTAAGGTTGGTATCATTTTCATATGTCTAGTTTTTTCCTCTCCAAATAACATAACCTTGATGATTAATGTCTATAACTCTTCATAACCCCCATAAATACCCAGGAAAATTATTTGCATGCATTTTGTTTCTACTTTAATGAGAATCTCATGGTGTTTAGGATATATAAAGGCTTACCTCAATATATTACAGGTTTGGCTCTATACCACTGCACTAAAGTGAATATTCCAATAAAATGAGTCACATGAATTTTTTGTTTCCCAGTGCATATAAAAGTTATATTTACACTATACCATAGTCTATTAAAGGTACAAAGACATTATGTCTGAAAAAGTAAAGCATATACCTTAATGTAGAAATACTTTATTGCTGAAAAATGCTAATGATCATCTGAGCCATCAGTGAGTCATAAGCTTTTTGTTGGTGGAGAATCTTGCCTTGATATTGATGGTTTCTAATAGACCAGGGTGGTGGTTGCTGAAGGATGGAGTGGCTGTGGCAATTTCTTAAAATAAGACAACAATGAAGTTTGCTGCATCCATGTACTCTTCTTTCCATGAACAATTTCTCTGTATCATGCAATGCTGTTTACCCACAGTACAACTTCTTTCAAAATTGGAGTCAGTCCTTTCAAACCCTACCACTGCTTTATCAACTAAGTTTCTGTCATAGTTTAAGTCCTTTGTTGTCATTTCAACGTTGTTCGCAGCATCTTCACCAGGAGTAGATCTCATCTCAAGAAACCACTTTCTTTGTTCATCCCTATGAAGCAACTCCTCATCCATTTAAATTTGATCATGAGATAGCAGCAATCTAGTCACATTTTCAGGGTTCACTTCTAATTCAAGTTCTCTTGCTGTTTCTACCACATCCACAGTTACTTCCTACAATGAAATTTTGAAACTGTCAGTTATAAAAGTCAGAATCAACTTCTTCCAGACCCCTGTTAATGTTGCTATTTTGATCTCCTTCCATGAAACATCAGTGTTTTTATTGGCATCTAGAATGCTGAATTCTTTCCAGAAGATTTTTTCTTTGCCCAGATTTTGGATCTGGGCAAAGAGGCCAGGAATTCTTCCTAACATCTGCAATGCCCAGGAGAGCTCCTCCACAACAAAGGATTATCCAGCCAAAATTGTCAATAGTGAAAAGGCTGAGAAATCCTATACTGGAGAAAGCATGTGGAAACAGAGAAGAAAAAAAAATTAAAAGACAGAATGGGAACATATTAGGTCAAAAGACAGAGGAGTCAAGCATATGAAATGGCTAAAAAAAAAAAGAAAAAGAAGAGAAATGAAAAGACATAGAACAATATATGTATGTATATAGGCTTTTAAATGGCTAGAAAATATTTGAACAATATCTTAGAAAGTGATAACGGCAGTTGCCTCTGGAACACGGGACAGAGGCTTTAGATGAAAGAGGAGTTTTCATTTCATATACTGCTCTGTAGTGTTTGGAATTTTACCTTGTATATGTATTGCTTTTTTAATTAAAATTGTTACTTAAAAATTAGAAAAAACTTTTAAAAAATACCATTAATAGGCCAGGCGCAGTGACTCATGCCTGTAATTCCAGCACTTTGAGAGGCCTACACAGGACAGTCCAGGAGTTCAAAACCACCCTGGGTAACATAATGAGACCTTGTTTCTTATTTAAGAAAAAGTCATTAATAATAGAATTAATTAGCAAATTTGAAATCACCCAGAGAATAATTCAGTACTATCATTATATTGTTACTTTCTTAAATTATGTGATAAAATTGTATCTTTCTTCAAAAATAGCATATGTGATTTAGCAGTGGGGAAAAATAAAACCTGCTTTGCTTTCTCTTGCTTCTAGAAAAACGGAGTGACTTGAGATCTTTTGCTAAGACCTCTCAAGTCCACTCTTTCATTTTTTATTCCATGGCATCCACTCTTATTTGAGACTCTCATTACTGCTGTTGTAGACTATTTCAATAGCCTTCTAAACAGTTTCCAATCTCTCTCCAATCTAATCTATTTTATCTGCCACTGCCAAGATTAATCGCCTTAAAAACTTACTCTTAGATCATTCCAGTTCCTGTTCAAAGCCAGCCTTCAGTCACCTGTGCCCCATCCGCTGCTCAGCAGGGCATTGAGACCAGGCTTCACTCTGGTTGATTCCATATACACAACTCCTGCCCAGCCAAACTAAATACTCACTCTGTGTCTCACCTGTCCCCAGCTCTCTGCCTTTGTGAAGTCTCTTCCACAAGAAAAATCTCCTGCACTGAACCTCAGCTTTAATATCCCCAATTTCATCAAGGCATCATGACTACACCAACCAGAAGTAATCGTTCCTTCTTAAATTCCTGATACCTTGTGCCTTTCTTTATGGCACATATATCTTTTTATCTCATATTATTGTTATTTATGTGTCTAATATTCCCTGCCAGAATTTAAACCCTCCAAGATTGATTCTTACACATGTTTCCTATAGTGCCCAGCACTGTGCTTTCTGCTTAGGACCTACTGAATGAAGAAATGAATAAAATGAGATGCTCGATATTTATTACATTTATTTTTTATTTCAATTTGATATCCATTGCTTTTGTTGGTAAATTCCATTAACATAAAACACAGTAAAGGCTCATACAATAAACATGGATTATAGAAAGTGCTGAGAATCATTTTCTTCTCAGGCTCTATTTAAAATGCTCATCTACTTGCAGCGAGGATCCTGTTATAGAGAAGGTCTATTTTTGTAATGGAAATGGATGACTGTCAGCATTTGGATTAATAGATAATCCTCTTGGAAGGTGTAAGGGGAAGGAGAAAGAGAGTACTAAATCCTTCAGCATCAAGTACAAGCTTTAATAAAGGAGCCAATAAAATAAAGGAATTAAGAAGACACACCAAAAGCCATATTCAGGTCAGACTCAAGTGCTGTTGATTTATGCTGGACCTACTCTTACCCTCTGCCCTTGTTTGTTCTCTTTCTTCTTGCGCCTGTAAACTACAAGGCTCTATTTCTCTCATTGCCATAATTCCAATTCTTCTACTTTCTTGCCTGGATTACTGCAACAGCTAACAAAGTTCATCTTCCTGCCCCCAGCTGTTTGCTTATCTGATTCACCCTGCACAGCAGCTGCCACAGCTATCTTCTAAAATCAAAGCATTGTGTCCCATTACTTCTGGACAAATCCAGGCTCTCTAGCATCATCGTCAAAGCTCTTAAAATTATGTCCTCTCCTACTCCCCAACCTCCTCATAGCTCAGGCTCCAGCTGGACCTTCAAGAGATCCCCACTGGGGATGTAAAGTTTCTCTCACTTTACAAATGGAATCTTCTGCTTGGAATGTCCATCTTGCCTTCTCTGACTTTTCACTCTTACTAATTGTTTAAGAGCAAGTTGAAAGGTCGACACATCAGAGACGTTTGACCTGACATTCCTCTTCCTTCCTAAATGGTTTACTTTTCCTTATGTGGAATCTGGTAGCACTTTGCACACACCTCTGTTAGCACGTTTCATTTTCTCCTAGACTATTTGTTTACATACTTGTCTCTGAGCTCAGAGCTATTCAAAAGCATAGACATCTTTCTGTCCCCAGAACACAGAAGAGAATTTGTGGTGGGGGACAGGGTAGATACCGAGTGGGTGAGTGTTGTGAGTAAATTTCACTGTACCCCACCTGGCTACAAGCATGGGGACTTCTCTCATACTTCCTGCCCTCCCCACTGCAGCCACACAGCCCCTTCTTTGGGTCCTTAAGCATGCCCAGTTTGTATCTGCCTCTGCACTAGCTTTTCCTTCCATCTGAAATACTCTCCCTTTATTTCTTCCAGTGGCTGGCTCCTTTGTATTCCTTCATTCTCAGCTAAGATTTGCCCTCTGAGACCCACCTTTCTGAATAACCTGTGTCAAATAGCTCCTCTTCGCTGCCCCAGTCACTAACCAACATATCACCTTATCTTGTTAGCTTAGTTATACTTACTATACCCTGAAATTGTAGTCATTTATTGATTCACTTTTTTATTGTTCTTTTATTTGATGTCTGCTTTCCTCTCATTAGGAAGGAACTATTTAGTTCATCATAGTATACCTGGTGCATCTGGCTCATAGTAGGTGCTCAGCACATGAATGAATGAATGAATGAACCAATAAATGAATGTTTGCTGGTTTTGTAAAAAATCTATCCAGAAAAGCAAACAAAGAAACATTATTCCTATCGTAAGAGAACTCAAATTCTAGGAACTTTTATAAATTTCATGGGTGGGGCTGAAGCTAAAAATATTTTGGCAACTAAAGCACAGAGACACTTTTGGTATGCTAGGGTTCTGTTATAATACTCTCGTCATTTTGTTATTTTAAGCATGCCGTTCATGACGCAGAAATCTATTTAAATTGGCTGAATTTAGGAACAGTGCCACAGAGGAAGTAGTGGCCTACACTTGCATGATGGCTATCCTGCAAGCATGATGTTAATCTCAGATACTTAGAGCCTTTGGTGCCCTGCACAATACCGCATATGTAGTGGGTACTGAAGAAATATTTACTAAGTGACTGAATGAATGCCTTTGTAGTCTTGCCCTGCTTTTTTCAGAAGAGCTTGAATTATTGCCCAGTTCTTCTCTGGGGGAACCTAGGGTTTACTGGCCCTGTTCCCATCTCATCCATTGTAAAAATCCTGGCCTCATGCTGCCTGGAGGAAAGTAGGACCAGTCATTTGGCAGCACTGTCTGCTGTGGCCAGAAGGAAAAGGCTGCTTGGTGCCAGCAGATTTAAAAACAAAAAACTATTTGCCTTTGCTTGATTGTTTGAGAGAATAGCTAACTTTTCTCTAACCAACAAGACAAGCTCATCAGTGTAAGTCTCCTTCATACCCCTTTGCATTCTGATTCAATTTATCAAATATCTGAGTGCATACCTGGTACCCGGCAGTGTGCAAGGTGTTGTGCATAAGATAAGTAGAACAGGCAAAGTCCAGGCCTTGAAGAGTGTATGGCCTAGCAGGAAAGATGGTCTTGATTGTCTACTGCATGACATCGCCTGTTTCTCTGCATGACCTGATCTACTTCTAAGATTTTGTGGCTGCAGACACATGCTTGCTTAGACCACTTTCTGGTTATATTTTATTTTAATGAGACTGCTTGAAGTTTGTCTCAAGAAAAAAAGGCTTCATTTTCTTTTTTTCCCCTTAGTACCTGTGATGTGATTTCTTTTTCTTTTTTTTTCTTTTTTTTTCTTTTTTGTGAGATGGAGTCTCACTCTGTCACTCAGGCTGGAGTGCAGTGGCACAATCTTGGCTCACTGCAACCTCTGCCTCCTGGGTTCGAGCAATTCTCTGGCCTTAGCCTCCTGAGTAGCTGCTATTACAGGTGCATGCCACCACACCAGGCTAATTCTTGTACTTTTAGTAGAGACGGGGTTTCACCATGTGGGCCAGGCTGCTCTTGAACTCCTAACCTCAAGTGATCTGCCTGCCTCAGCCTCCCAAAGTGCTGGGATTACAGGTGTGAGCCACTATGCCCGGCCTTCTTATTTGTCCATTTTCTTCTACTTATGTATCCAATGGGATGGTGTTTTTCTGAAGGCTGATTGTCTTAAGGTCTCATTTACAGGTGTAGACATTTGCTATCCCTCATGTAGCAGTTAATCATGATATGGGAATCCAAACGTTGCATTCAATCTTTGCTGTCTTTGAAATAAATGCAATAGCACTAGTCTGCTGGATCCCATTCTCCTTACTCTTTTACTCAATCAGATTTTGAAGTCTTTTAGCACGTATGTGGCCTTTGCACTTTTTCCCTCTCTGCTGCTGTTGTCAATTTTCTTGGAACGTCTACTTTAGATTATTGTCTTATGTTTTATTTATTACAAGAATAAACTTAAAAAGAATTTGTTTTTGAGACAGGGTCTCACCCTGTGTCCAGGCTGGAGTGCAGTGGTGCGATCTTGGCTCACTGCAACCTCAACCTTCTTGAGCTCAGGTGATCCTCCCACCTCAGCCTCCTGAGTAGCTGGGACTACCACGCCCAGCTAGTTTTTGTAATTTTTTGTACAGATGGGGTTTTGCCATGTTGCCCAAGCTGGTATCCGACTCCTGGGCTCAAGCGATCAGCCCCAAGCGATCAGCCTGCCTCAGCCTCCCGTAGTGCTGGGACTACAGGCATGAGCCACAATGCCCGGCCTATTACAAGAATAAACTTTATAACCATAATTATGAACAGAGTTGTGGTCATAGTGCACATCAGATGACACTGAAAGACTTTATATACCCAAAGTCTTATAATATGAAATAGTTAACCACTTTCGTTCAACAATTACTGAAATCCTGTCTATGACAGTATACTGGGTTAAAGACTGGAAAATTGAACATTACCAGGAAACTCCCTCTACTAGGGTTAGCTCATTCTTTAGACCCTGCTATATGCCAGAAGACAAGGTTACTAAGAAAAATGACACAATCCTTGCCTTAAGGAAGTAGACTGTCCAGGAAGAGGGAAGCATCAGTGCAAATATGACATATTAGAAAGGCTTCAATAGAATTAGTTTCTGGGTTCAATAGGAGAGTGATCAGATCTACTTTAGTGATTTAGGAATTAGAGGAGAGCAGAAAAAGCCTCACAGAGCTAGATGCTGAGCTTCTAAACTAGATTAGGTGTCTTACTATACAACAAAAGTTGAGGGAGCTTCTAGGGAAACAAAGATACAGAAATGACAAAGCGTGCTATGTTGAGGCTGTTTCAGTTCATATAATTTGAAGCACGGCATATGGGGCAAAGAATGCTAATGGAAGGAAGCAAAGGCAGCCTGATGGAGGTCCTTATAGTTTATACTGAGCAGGTATGGAGGTTTGCAATATACTGAAGGTGAGGTGAGAGGGAGAGCAAGCAGGAGAGGGGATAAAATGTTTTAAGTGGAGTAGTGGCATAATTTGATTTGTATTTTGATAAGATCATCCCGGAGGAAGCTTTAAGGTGAACTGGAGGCAGTCAGGAGAGCATTTCTCTACTGCTGAGTCATGACACACTGTAACATCCATTGAAATTCATTCAAAAAGATGATTTGTATATGTTGCTAAGTTTAATTTTCTGATTTCTAAGGAATTTTATCTTCACGCTAATAGGTGAGCTTGGTCTATGATTTTCTTTCTTATATTGTTGGGTTTTTTTCATTTTTTACAGCAAAGTAAAATATCCACAGATGAGTTTGATAGCTTTTATTCTCTTTCTAATGTCTAGAACGGTTTTACAACAGGCAATCCTATCTGTTCCTTGAAGATTTGGTTAAAATCACCTAGAAAACCATCTAGGCTTGGAGTCTTTAATTTCAAGGATGGAGAAAGTTTTTGTATACTGATTCAATTACTTTAATGGTTACTGGATTATTCAAATATTCTATTTTTTTCCTTGACTCAATTTTATTTTTATTTATTTATTTATTTATTTTTATTTTTTTGAGACAGAGTCATGCACTGTCGCCCAGGCTCGAGTGCAGTGGCCGGATCTCGGCTCACTGCAAGCTCTGCCTCCTGGGTTCACGCCATTCTCCTGCCTCAGCCTCCCGAGTAGCTGGGACTACAGGCGCCCACCACCACGCCTGGCTAATTTTTTTTGTATTTTTAGTAGAGACGGGGTTTCACCGTGTTAGCCAGGGTGGTCCCGATCTCCTGACCTTGTAATCTGCCCACCTCGGCCTCCCAAAGTGCTGGGATTACAGGCGTGAGCCACCGCGCCCGGCCAAATTTTATAATTTACACATTTCTATAAAAGAGTCTAGCTCATGGTAAATCTCTTCATTTTCAAAATTATTCGCATAAAAAAGAACAAATACTTTTTTAGGATAGATGGAAATATTTTGGTTGTTTGTTTGTTTGTTTGTTTTTGAGATGGAGTTTCACTCTTGTCACCCAGACTGGAGTGCAATGGCATGTTCTCGGCTCACCGCAACCTCTGCCTCTCGGGTTCAAGAGATTCTCCTGTCTCAGCCTCCCTAGCAGCTGGGATCACAGGCACACGCCATCACGCCTGGCTAATTTTTTTGTATTTTTAGTAGAGACGGGGTTTCACCATGTTGGCCACCCTGGTCTCGAACTCCTGACCTCAGGTTATCTGCCCACCTTAGCCTCCCAAAGTGCTGGGATTACAGGTGTGAGCCACCGCGCCCGGCCAAATATTTTGTATTTTATTTGTGGAGAAAGGTTCACAGATATATGTATATCTATCAAAACTTATCAAATCATGTATAATAGATATTCATAGTAAATAACTTATAATCTCATAAAGTTAATTAACATTTACTGCAGAAAATTATACATAGTATTTTTTGTGATAAAAAATTATTTTCCATATTCTTGGGTATGTTCTTTTTTTGCTCTTAATATTGTTTATTTGGACAATCTCTTCTTTTTTTTAATGAATTTTGTTTAAAAGTTTGTCCAGTTCATTATCTTTTAAATAACTAGCTCTCTGAGAATAACCCTTAGCATCTTTGTTTTCTTTCTCTTTCTGCCGTAAGTACCTTGCAATATCCCTGCCACAACTACCACCACCATCATTTTGGTGGGGCAAGTGCGAACAGGCAATAAAGTAGGTGACTAGAGGATATTACAACATTTGGGACACAGGCTAGTAATAAAGGGATGATTTTTCTTGTTTCAAAGTGCCTACTGCAGCCAGCTGGTCAAGCCTCATAGCTATTGGAGGCAATTTCCTATGTGCAAATTGATGTAGTTGGAATATTATGTGGTGTCTTTGAGGAGAACCCCTTTTAGAATTCTTCAGAAGGGCTTAGCTGACAATGTGGATACTCATTACCCTGTAGGAACTGGGTTCTAGCACCTTTGTATTCAAGGTCATGATATTGGCTCTTGATGCTTAACTCACAGACTGATGAAAATGGGCAGCAGAATCTGAAAATAATACAGCATCAAATAGCTGCTAGTTAATATATTTTACTGTCTTAAAATTTATTTTTTAAATGTTTTCTTTTTTATTATTACTATTTTAAAATTAAAATTAGTATTATTTTATTTTACATAGAGATGAAGTCTCACTATATTGTCTAAGCTGGTCTTGAGTTTCTGGGCTCAAGTGATCCTCCTGCCTCAGCTTCCCTGAGTGCTGGGATAATAGGCATGAGCCACTGCGCCCAGCTACTGTCTTGAAATTTATGTGCTGATTTTACCAACTAAATATATTCGGTTACTTAACACAATTTAAATTTTTCTTAAAAAAAACACTACTCTTTTGGATTTGAGGGAGCTAATTATACTTTATTACTAAATGTGAAAACTTGATTGCTTTTTTATTTTTCTTCTAGTCAACAAATACATTCTAGAAGAAAACATCATAATATGTGAAATGGACTATTTAATAATGCACTACTTATATCTTAATACCAAATAAGATCTGAGGAAGTAATATTCCCATTAAAAGTATATTCAGAGATGCCATTGTTAGTTGTCTTGGGGCTTATTCAAAGTAATCAGGTCCTCTGTAACAGATGTACCAAAATGTTGAAAATCCTTCCTTATATGTACAAGATAATTATGTGCTTTTCAAAGCTTGAAGGAAAATGTATTTTGTGGGTAGAACTTGATACTTACAAAGTCTAACTAAGCAACCTAATGGGAAATCAATTGTGCTTTTAATGATGCTGGACATCAGCAACAAAGTTATTTATCTGAAATCTGAATTAGATCTCCTGGAATTGAAAGAGGGGTTATAAATTTGAGTAATTCTTTTTCTTACTCTCCTGTGCTCTTTCGAAAAATGTATTTGAGGCATCTTTTGTTTGTTTTGTTTCTTTCTTAGGGAAAAGTTGAAACCCCAAGATTGAATGCCATTTTATGGTTTGCTAGGGCTGCTGTAACAAGTAACAGGCTGAGTGGCTTAAAAAACAGAAATTTATTTTCTCACAGCTCTAGAGGCTGTAAGTCTGAAATAAAAGTGTCAGCAAGTTGGTTTCTTCTGAGGCCTCCCTTCTTGGTGTGTAGATGGCCGTCTGTCCCCTCTATCTTCACGTGGTATATTAGTCATATTTACATGATGGCAGTGGTGGCCTGTCTGGAGTGGCCGCTCCCATGACCCCGGCTACAGCAAGGGAGGGAGGAGCAGCCAGGGCTTCATGCTCCATGGAGCCAGCAGGAGCTGGGAAGAAGTGGAAGCCTGCCCCCTTCTGAGTTGGAGAGGCGGGAGCCCAGCCAACCTGGGCACAGCTGCTGTGGACCTGGGCATCTCTGCACTCTCCAGGCCCAGGAAGCCCCTGCCCACTGCAGGCTCAGAAGTGCCTGCTCCTACTGCCTGGCCTCTCCCTGATCCCGGAGACCACTCTGATTTCTGAGCAAAGTTGTGGCCCAGTCCAGGTGCTGTCATGAGCTGGCCGGGTGTGCACATGCCTGGGGCAGTGCTGACACATCAACCCCCTGCCGACTGGGCCCCCTCCAGACTTTGGGCACTGATGAGCATGGGAGGGAGGCCAAGAGGGGGCTAAAGGCAGCTCAGTGCAGGCCTGCAGGCGCCGCTCAGCACGGACAGCCTGGATGCCATGGGTACTGTGGAGGGCAGGCCAATGGTGGCAGGAGGCAGACAGGCTCCTGGGTGGAAAGGGGAGGGTCCCCAGTGAAACCCCACCTTCAGGCCAGGGATGACCTGAGGCCTGGGGTCCAGGCTGCCAGTTCTGTGGACCAGAATGAGAACTTACGGTGCTTTTTCCGCGCCACCTGTGGCCACCCATGGATCAATCAGCACATACTTCCTCCCCTCTGAAGCCTATAAAAACCCCCAAACTCAGTCAGACTTGAGCAGATGACAGGATGACCTGCCTGCAGAGAGGAGCTACCCACTGTGGGTCTCCTCTCTGCTAAGAGTTGGACACTCGTTGGGACAACCCGCCTGCAGAGAGGAGCTACCCACTGCAGTTCTCTGAGCTGTTCTGTCACTCTATAAAGCACCTCTTTGCCTTGCTCACCCTCCACTTGTCTACATGCCTCATTCTTCCTGGATGTGAGACAAGAACCTGGGACCCACCAAATGGCAGGACTGAAAGAGCTGTAACACAAATAGGGCTGAAACATGCCCCTTGCTCGCCGTGTTGTAGGCAGCAAGAAGGAGAGAAGAGAGAAGAGAAGTGCCGTGGCCCTTCAGGGAGCCCAGACCTAGTAGCTCCCGAGCCAGGGCTGTGACACCCGCTTTGAAGCTCTGCGGTTCCCGGTGTCTCCAAGCTTCCAAACGCCACCACATTTCCTGGTGCCAGCAGTGGAAGCTGCTTGTGGTACTTCTGGTCCAGCTGCAGCCTAGCAGTGAGCCAGCATCCATGCCAGTGCCTGGAGCTGCCTGCCCCACAGTAGCCAGAGTGCCTGACTGTGTGCAGCAGACAGACCCCATGCTCGCTCACTCACATGCCTCTCACCACTCCACACCTGGCTCGCCCTTGGCAAGTGTGGGATCCGGGCTGGTAGCACAAGCCAAGTGCAGCCTGCCAGGCCGAGTGGGCACAATGAACCCAGCAGGCCTAGGCAAAACTCAGGCAAAGGCACCACTGGCAACAGAGGTTTCCAGCTGATGAAGCGACACCCCAAGGATCCTGTAACATATGTATGTGTAAATATACAAACATATATACATACATAATTAGTCATTATATACATATTTCTGAAGAGAGAAAAATTTTAAGGAATTGGCTCATCATTATGGAGGCTTTGGATGCTCAAAATCTTCAGGTAGAGACCTGGAAAAAAATTGCAACCCAAAGGCAGCCTGCTGGCAGAATTCCTCCTTGCTTGGGAAGGGCCAGTCTTTGTTTTATTAAAGCCCTCAGCTGATTGGATGAGGCCTACCCACATTGTGAAGGTAATCTGCTTTACTCAAAGTCTACCAATGTCAATCTCGTCTAAAAGCACTGTTATAGAAACATCCAGACAGTTTGACTAAATATCTGAGCACCATGGCTCAGCCACGCTGACACGTAGAGTTAATTAACCATTACACAGGGCCTTCCCTCTGTACCTGTCTGTGTCCAAATTTCCTCTCCTTATAAGAACGCTAGTCATATTGGATTAGGACCCACCCTAATGACCTCATTTAAATTTAAAATTCTGTCTCCAAATATAGTCAATCTCTGAAGTACTGGGGGTTATGACTTTAACATATAAATTTGTGTAAAACATAATATAGCCTATAACAGCCATTACCTTAAAACAGGCATAAATAGGAAGGGAAAAACAGTCCTCCTAATGCTAAAAATGTGTTATTTCCTCTTATCTTAGGATAAAACGTGTTTGTGAATCCTCAGATAAACCAATTAATTGTAATGGAAAGTAACTTTTTCATAAATTTACATTATGAATCTAGAAGTCAATTTCATTTTTCTTTGCCAAGGGTATTTACATTATCATAGTAATTAAATATTAGGTTAAAAAAGGAAAAAATTTTTTATTCTGGCTGTTTCTGAATTTTTACTTGTTTTCATTTCATACTTTTATATTTAAAATTAAAGAGCAATGTGTGAGATATTTTAGTCTTGACTTATGAAATAATTTGAAGTCACTAGTAAAAAAAGTTTCCACTTTTTCTGAAAATATAAGACATACATATGGGAAAACCACCAATAAAAACAGAAAAGAAAATTAGCAAAAGAATATAAAATGAGGGCAAATTAAAAACCACATCTTCAATGGTTATCTCATTAATGAAATCTTTTAACATTATCTCCTAGGTTTTCTTCAGTATCCCAGTCTCTTAGATCTCTAAAATCCATTTAACAAAAGGGCAAAATATTTTCCTATCTCTGAATGAAAAAAAAAAATTTCTGATTCTCTTTTTGCAGATAATAAGGAGATTTTTCTTTCCAAAGCAATTCACAAGTCCTTCCTAGAGGTTAATGAAGAAGGCTCAGAAGCTGCTGCTGTCTCAGGTACTGTTTGCTAGAATCTTCTCCCCTCTTCTAGATTTGTATTTTTAGAGCAATCTTGAGTGGGGAGTGGGGTCATTTTCAAAATGAAGCCAAAAAAGTCACTCTGCTCTAACTTAGAAGTCAAGCAAATGCTGAACCAGCCGGAATTTTCTAAATAGAATGTGAAGTGTGAACTCACTCCAGTGCCCCTTTACAGATAACTCTCATCTTCATTTTCTCTCTAATGAGAGACAGGAGGACATTGGCAGTTCTGCGAAAATAGATTTTTTCTGCTGTGCTGCCTGTTTAAATATTTTAAATATTTTCCTGCTACCCATTTAAACATTTTTCTTCCTACCAAATTATTTGCTGAAGTTGATTCTTAATTTTGTCAGCAAAAAGTTCTTATTTTTTATTTTCATGGTTACATGGCAAATGTATATATTTATGGAGAATATGGGATATTTTTGATACAGGTATGTAATGCATAATAATGACATCAGGGTAAATGGGGTATTCATCACCTGAAGCATTTATCATTTCTTTTTATTACAAACATTTCAATCATACTTTTCCAGTTATTTTTAAATGTACAACAAATTGTTGACTTATAATCACTTTGATGTGCTATCAAATACTAGATCTTCATTCTATTTAACTGTATTTTCGTACCCACTAACTATCCCAACATACCCCACCTCTATCACTTTCATGATAGGATAGTATTTTCCGAAGTAAATAAGAGCATAGTAGCCTCAGGCATCAAGACAGCTTGAAATCTTACATGTAATCTGGACTTTCTTTTGACAATTAACTATACTGCAGCAAGTATATATCATCTTATAATGAGGATCTCAGGGGAATTTAGTAGCCCAGTCATAGGATACCTCGTTGTATCTCTCACTGTTATATTTTCCCTTTAATCACTGCCATCTTGACCACTTACTAGAAACCTGGTGACTTCCTATGTAAAAATACCCGCTTCAGACAAAAGAAATAATGATTTGAAAATATAGAGAAACTCTCTTCAGTTTTTGTTTGGGGATTTTTTTCTTTATTCTCCCCCTTCCTTTTACTCAAAAGTCATTTTAGTAAAGACACACATATTTATGTGAGGCTGAGAATAAACATTTCATAACAAGCAGAATAAATTGTCCTATTATTTTTAATGGAGTAGAAGGAAGAAATTGTTTGTTTGTTTTGTTTGTGGTGTGTGTTTGTTTTGTTTCGTTTTGCTTTTTAAAAAGATCAAGTAGAAATGTTAACACCTTTATAATTTTTCTCCAGTTAAGTCTTTAAAATCTTGTTTCCTGTAAATTGTTGTCTTTGCATTAGGTGGATAGGCATAGATGGTTTTGAGGAATTACTCATTAGTCTCTGCACATCCACAGACATATAATTACTTTTTATCTGCACTGTAGGAATGATTGCAATTAGTAGGATGGCTGTGCTGTATCCTCAAGTTATTGTCGACCATCCATTTTTCTTTCTTATCAGAAACAGGAGAACTGGTAAGTTTATTATGAAAACAAAATTTTATTTAATAGGTCACAAAGAACCTCTTTTTTAAATGGAGATTTTTTTCCTCAGTACTCATCATATAATTTCTTTTCACAATTTTATTTATTTATTCTCTTTCCAGAGATTGACCAACTGAATTATCAGATAGTTTATAATGTTGAAATGATTTTTTTTAATGAAAATAAGGCTGGTGAGGTGGCTCAGACTTTAATCTCAGCACTTCAGGAGTTCCAGGCAGGGAGGATCACTTGAGGCCAGGAATTCAAGACCAGCCTGGGTAACATAGTGAGACCCCATTTCTACATAAATAAAATTTTTAAAAAATTAGCCAGGCATGGTGGCACATGCCTGTTATCCTAGCTACTAGAGGTGTTGGGGGTGGAAGGAATGCTTGAGCTCAGGAGTTCACAGTTACAGTAAGCTCTGATAGAGCCACTGCACTCCAGCCTGGGCATCAGAGCAAGAGCCTTTCTCTAGAAGGAAAGAAGAAAGGAAAGGAAAGGGAAAGGGAAAAGGAAGGAAGAGAGAGAGGAAGGAAGGAAGGACAGGAGGAAGGAAGGAAGGAAGGAAGGAAGGAGAAAATAACATATTTTCATTAATTGTAAGCAAGAAGGAAGATAAATATTTTATTATTTTGTTCACCCCCTCTTTTGTTTACTTCTGAACCAATACAGGTACAATTCTATTCATGGGACGAGTCATGCATCCTGAAACAATGAACACAAGTGGACATGATTTCGAAGAACTTTAAGTTACTTTATTTGAATAACAAGGAAAACAGTAACTAAGCACATTATGTTTGCAACTGGTATATATTTAGGATTTGTGTTTTACAGTATATCTTAAGATAATATTTAAAATAGTTCCAGATAAAAACAATATATGTAAATTATAAGTAACTTGTCAAGGAATGTTATCAGTATTAAGCTAATGGTCCTGTTATGTCATTGTGTTTGTGTGCTGTTGTTTAAAATAAAAGTACCTATTGAACATGTGACTAGATCTATTTTTTTATTTTAGAAGTTGTAGTATAAAGATATCTCTAGGTGAACTTTGGAAACAATGTTTCTCTACCTCTTAAATCTCTTATGCAGGATCAAAACATCATAGTAAAATAGCATTATAAACTTATGCATAACAAGCAATAACAAGTGAGGTGAAGACAGGTACTCCACAAAAATTCTCACTGTAATTTCTTGGAAATAAGTGTATAGCGTAGGCAAAAGAATACAAACTGGACATCTTTCGTATTGCTTCATGACAAGACCTGTTAGAAAAAAACAACAGAGCTATGCAAATCTCAGATACCTATAGCTCATTTTTCCAAATCATTGAAAATTCATTTGGCTTCATATGCCTAAAGGAGTTTACAAGTCTGGTGTATCACTGTGTTTTGTTGCTGTAAGTAAAATCCAAGCTACAATTTCCCAAAAGCCCCAAAATAAACCACACGAGCAAACTAAAAATAAAAATATGCACTTTGGCACGTCACGGGAGAGTTAATTAGAAAAACCATGCTAGCACGCATACTGGAAAATGGCAAGTCACGGGACTGAACGCTGCCCACAGAAGTGTTCTTGTTTGCTCTACATGGGGCTTTTACATTTTGAATGTCTGTAATTGGAGTATCATGTTCCTTGTTTCTCCCGTTAATTACCTGAGTGGCTACTGGATGCATTTGTGTTTGAGATCTGGAGAGAGTTATAAGTAGCTCTCTGCAGAATATATTGGTCTTATTTTCTAATACAATAAATAGTTGATTCCAAAGGAGGTAGTGTCAACTTCAAGATCTCCAGTAAATTACTTTATCTTTTAATATTTCTTGGAAAAAAAATATTTCATAATATCTCATGAAATGAACTATTTCTGTTTAATGCCAAATTTGTAATTCTATGATGAACAGTTTCAGAAAAAGTTTGACACATTTCAAAATTTAACAGAAACAGTTTGCATGTTACTTTCTTATGTATTAGGTATTGTGCTGATTTGGACCTGTTTACAAGAATTGTTATTATCAATTATCATTAACTTTAATTCAGTTCATGAGAGTTTGGGAAAACCAGGCCAGATCTTAGACGTACTAAATTCAAAAACTTGAAAATCCACTTTTTCCCCCAAGCTTTCTTGGTGAATCTGTTACATGCTAAATCTTGAATACTGCTAAAGTAAAGGGTACATATGGAATACTCACTTATAACCAGTTTTTTAGATATGGTTAATTTATAGAAACTTAGATCAATCAACAAGTGTATTAAATCAATGCTTCTCAAACTTTATTGTGTAATGGAATCACCTGGGGATCTTATTAAAAATTCAGTTTATCATTCAGTAGGTCTAGGGGGTGGTCTGAATAGCCTGGAGTGTGTTTCTAACAAACTCCCAAGTAAGGCCTTTCATGTTTGTCCACAGACTGCTGTTTCTCACTTTGTTAGCATAACTCTACTTAATATTTGCATGTTTGATATTTTTATAAATGGAATAGAATGTCTGTATAATTTTTATAGAGTTTGGAGGGATTTGGGGGTGTGGGGTGACAGTATCATGAAAAAATGCAATATACTTGTCCAAAATGGGGAAAAATAGTTTTACTCTAAAGTTTTTTTTTTTTCTATTACATGCTATGGACAAATGCGTAATTCCTCTGCATATTAGAGCACTTGAAATATATTCTTTAAAAATATGAAGATATTTATAGGCATTATTCACAAAAGAATTTATGGATGCCCAAGGACATAGTACTTAGCACAATCTTTTACAGCTTATATTTTCAGAAGACTTATAGTTTATTCATAGGTTATTATAGAAAAGTGCTCTTGTTTTCATGTGTAATATATACAGGTTGGGTTAACTGATGTTGTTTCAGTATTGGTGTTATGAGTTTGTGATATTCTTCATTACCATATCACTACTTGTTAAACATTATTTCTACATTTGTATGGCCATCAGTCAATGAAATGAATTACCTATAAGGAAGAGTAAATGTCATTAGGCAATCATGTGGATTTTTTTAATTTTTTATTTTTTGAGACGGAGTTTCACTCTTGTTGCCCAGGCTGGAGTGCAATGGCGCGATATTGGCTCACTGCAACCACCGACTCCTGGGTTCAAGCGATTCTCCTGCCTCAGCCTCCTGAGTGGCTGGAGTTACAGGCGCCCGCCACCACGCCCAGCTGGTTTTTGTATTTTTTAATAGAGATGGTGTTTTGCCATGTTGGCCAGGCTGGTCCCAAACCCCTGACCTCAGGCGATCCACCTGCCTCGGTCGGCCTCCCAAAGTGCTGGGATTACAGACCTGAGCCACAGTGCCTGGTCAATCATGTGGATTTTATAAAGCCCAAAATGCAACTTTTATTAGCTGATATTAAATTCTACTATTCAGAAGGTTTACCTTAAAATATTTCAATACCATTGAGATATCCTTTAAATAAGAAAAGATTCTCCTGTGTTGTTAGTATGCTTGTGGAATGCTTAGGAATAGAGTACTTGATAAACCAAGTTTTTCATTTTGTTTGACTTGGTTTATAATATCTTCAGTATTTTTGTTTGTTTTGAAAAAGCAACATAGTCAAGTTCAATTTCCTTTAAACGAATAAATTAATACACACACAGTATACAGTTTGCCAAAACTTTTTACTTTTTGAACCTTTTTCTTAGAGAAAATCAACGTAATTATGTAGATTTTGCTTTTATTTTAAGTCTTGATTTTACTTTTTATGTATTCAATAGGCTAGACTGAATAGTTATAGACAATATAATCCTATAAGTTTTGACTTCATCATAATAACCAAATAATTGTTAAAATCAGTCTTAAATAGAGATGATTATTTGAACACCAGAAAAAGTTGGGGTTTTATAAAAGTAATTAGAATAAAGAAAATATGGTGAAAACATTTTATTCTCATTAAGTATGTGTGCATTATACATATTATAATTCACTGCCTTTGGTGTATAATCAGCCTCTTGATTTATAATGATGGACATTTTTCTTATCTAAAAAAAAAATTCTTTTTTTGTTAACCAGAATGGCTTGGGGCATTTTAGTTATTGGCCAAAGGTTACTTGAAATGCATCTTTGTTAAGTATAGGTCTTTGTTGCAATGTTGAGAAAAGAAGATGAATATTTGTAATACAAAAAAATGGCTGCTAAAAAAATCAATAGCCTTACCATATTCTCAGAGGCTCACTACAACACTGTCTGTTACAGAGAGGATTCGTTTAGAGAAGCATGCCTTAGACAGAGGGCAAGTTTCTTTAGTTAAATGGCTTCATTATAAGACTGCCCCAAGGTATAGGCTCAATAAAAAATACCCTAACAAGGCTCCCATGTAGCTGTTTCCTTTCAGGAAAGCTAGTCTGCCTGTTAATATTTTAACACATTTTAAAAAATATATTGGACTAAACTAAAAACAAATCTCCAGCTTGACTAAAGTGCATCATTAAAAAGAAATCCCAGACCCATATGAGCAGGGACCCAAAACACATTGTTTTAGTTCAGTTCTTGTTCTCCAAAAAAATGCTAGAATCACTAGGGATGATGTATCGGGACAGGGAAAAGGAGTGTATAAAGGAGTGCAGTTGTGTGGGCAAATCTAAAACCAGCATCCCTCAAGTCTTCACCATTTGATAAGTGGAACACACATACCAGCAACTTCTGGCCCACTTCCAGATCATATATTATTTAGAAGAACTTAGTTTGTATGTTTTTCTGCCTGAAAACTGAACCAGAAAACCGCACTGTTCCATTCCATTTTAGGTTCTCTCTCTCTCTCTCTCTGTGTGTGTGTGTGTGTGTGTGTGTGTGTATGCACATGCTTGTGTCTGCATTTTTCCTTATTTTTTAAATGTTTATTTGAATGGCTTACTCTCTGCACTGAAGATTTTTATCCTCAGTCTGACAATAGATGAGAGAAGTCCTTCCACATCCATCATTATTTACTGGGAAGCAATCTACCCTCCCCCAAGGATGCTTGATGTCATTTTTCCCCAAAAAACTTGAGGAAGCCCCTTTAGAGAAAAAGAGGAAGAAATTTGCTTACAACATGAAACTCATTCACACAGAGACTCTCTGCTCTGTAAAGTGCTTTCCTGTTGAATTTTCCATTCAAATTCCGCAGTCTTTAAGATAGAGCAAAAAATATTATTGCCATTTTAAAAATGTATAAACTGAGGTCTAGATAAATTAAATGACTAACCAAAAATGATATGCAATTAGGTAACTGAAAAGAGACTAATAGTTTATTAAATTATATTACTCTATTTGACACACATATTGAATTTATCAGCCTTTTACCTACCAAATGTCTAGTTTATATGTGAGTGAATGAATGTAATGATTCCTTTGCCAGTAAAAATGCATTTTTAAAAGGGATTTTCCATTAAGCCAGACTTGCTAACAAGATTCATACCAGGCTGGACTGGGTAGCTTATGCCTGATATCCCAACACTTTGGGAGGCCAAGACAGGTGGACTACTTGAGCTCAGGAGTTCGAGACCAGCCTGGGGAATGTGGTGAAACCCTGTCTCTATAAAAACTACCACCCTGGGTGTGGTGGCGCATGCCTGTAGTCCCAGCTACTCGAGGGGCTGAGCTGAGAGGATCACTTGAGCCTGGGAGTTTGAGGCTACAGTGAGCTGTGATCATGCCACAGCACTCCAGCCTGGGAAACAGAGCATGACCCTGTCTCAGCAACAACAACCACAAAAAAAAAAAAAAGATTCATACCAGGTGCTTCTGTCTGTAGTAGGACCATAAAGGGAAATAACCTTCAAAAGAAGTCCGAGTAGACCCTAAGCCAATTAAAGTATCTGATCTGAAATGTTCATTTTTCCCAGCTCAGTACTATTTAACAGATTACATTTTGTATTATGTCTACATAATATGACCCAGGAAAGAAATACTGAAAAAGGCAAACTTGTTGTAAACTTGTACTTTAAGGAAAATGATTAGACTCTTGCACCAGCCTTTGTAACACTGGGAGTTCTTTTTTACAACGTATTGGTAGTTCTGCAGTTCTTCTATTTTTAAGTAAGGATACATAATGACACTAAGTTCCTAATGAAATTGTACTGTCTCTAAAGTATCTTAAATTGCTATGATTTTACAAATTTACGTACACCAAAATTCACTATTCTTACTGCACTGTTCAATGCGTTTTAAAATGTGTAGATTGATATAACCTTCACCACAAACAAAATACAGAACAGTTCCCTCCCTAGCATAAACTCTTTTGTTCTTTTTTTAGTCACAGCCTCTCCCTACCTGCAACCTCTAGCCACCATTCATCTGTTCTCCCTTTTTATGATTTTGTCTTTTTCAGAATATCATATAAACAGAATGATACAGTATGTATACTTTCAAGACATTGTTTTGTTAAGCAATAATGCTTTTGCAATTCATCCAAGTTATGTGTATCAGTAGTTCAATTTGTTGATCCACTCACCCATGAAAGATATTTGGGTTATTTCTAATTGCTGGTGATTATAAACAATGCTGCTTTATAAATATTTATATACAAGTTTTTGTGTGAATTTGTATGAAACAATTTTGTTTTCATTTCTGTATGATAAAAACCCAAGACTGAGATTGCTGCATTATGTAACAACTGTATGTTTAACTTTACAGGAAGCTGCCTAAGTGTTGTCCAAAATGATTGTGTACCATTTTGCATTCCTAGTAGCAATATATGAGCCAAATGAGATAATTCCAAAAATCCTTACTAGCACTTGCTAGTATCAGGTTGTGTGTGTGTGCATGTTTTAGCCATTCTAATACACGTGTAGTGGTATCTAATCGTACTTTAAATCTGTATATTCCGAATGATTTGATTTGAATTCCCTAAAGTTGGGAATATTTTCATGTGCTTATTTTTCATATGTATATCTTCTTTGGTAATGTATCTGTTAAAATTTTTGGCCCATTTTTTATTAGGTTATTTGTTTTCTTGTCTTTGAGATTTGAGAGTTCTTTCATATTCTAGATATGAGTTCTTTGTCAAATATGTGACTTGCAAATATATTCTTTCAGTCAATAGCTTGTCTTTTCATTGTCTTAACAATGTCTTTCACAGATACTGAAAGATACTAAAACATTTTTGACTTCAAAAGTGAAATAATTTTTTTAAGATTGTGTTGTCGGTGTTGTATCAAAGAACTGTACCTAACGTAAAGTCATGAAGAATATGTCTTGTTTTTTCTCTTAATAGTTTGATGGCTTTTAATTAAGTATATGGTTCGTTTTGAGTTAATTTTTGTATAAGGTGTGGAATATAGCTTGTTTTTTGGCATACAGATGTCCAGTTTTCCCAACGTTATTTATTGAAGAGACTATTCTTTCTCAATTTGTCCTTGCTACTTTGTAAAAAATTAGTTTTTTACTGTAAAAAACTGGTTTTTATAGGATAGTAAAAACAATCTTTTACAGTAAAAGCCATTTTTAATAGAAAAAAGTTAATTTTTACCATATTGTGTAGATATATTTCTGGTCTTTCCATTCTGTTCTATTAATCTGTGTGTCTATCCTTTCTCCAATATCACACTGTCTCGATTGCTGTAGTTTTCTAATAAACCTTAAAATTAGGTAGTTTGAGTGTTCAATTAGGTCAAGGAAGTTGATTATATTGTTCAGGTCATCTATATTTTTGTTGATTTTCTGGCTACTTGTCCTACCAATTACTGAGACATGAGTGTTAAGTCTCCAATTGTAATTGCATGGTTTTCTATTTCTCCTTTCAGTTATATCAGTTTTTGCATCATGCGGTCATTTAAAATAACATTTAAAATGTGTTTCTTGTAGACAGCATTTAGTTTGGTCTGGTTCTTTATATCAAATTAGACTATCTTTACTTGGTATGTTTGGATCATTTACATATAGTGTTTAATTACTCATATGGTTGAATTTAGATCTACCATTTTATTACTTGTTTCCATTTCTACTTTTTTTAATTCCTCTGCTTCCACTTTTTTGTCTTCTTTGAGAATACTTGAATTTTTTCCTACTATTCCATTTCAATTTACCTATTGGCTTTTCACTGTTTCTCTGTGGATAATTTTTAGTGATGTCTCTAGGGATTATAACTTAAATTTTTATTCCTGTTAGTATTACTATTTCACTAGTTCATGCAGAATGTAGAAACCTTATAACTATGTAATTCCCTTACCCTGTCCCCTTATCTGGTTGTTGTTATATGCATTTTATGTATATGCAATGGAGAAATCCCATCAGACAGAAATTATAATTTTTGCTTTTAATTGTCATACATATTTTAATGAACTTCAAAGGAGAAACATAGTCTATTATATTTACATAAATATTGACCATTTTGGTTGCTCTTCCTTTGTAAAGTTTGGAGTTTTCCTTCTGTTATAATTTCCCTTCTCCCTAGAGAAATTTCTTTAGCATTTCTCTTGGAATGAGAATACTACTAAGAATATATTTTAGTCTTTTTTTAAATCTTAGAATGTATTTCTTTCACTTTTATTCCTGAAAGATATTTTCAGTGAATATAGAATTCTGGGTTGATAGTTGTTTAACTTCGGCACTTTAAAAAAGTTGTTTCATTGTCTTCTAGCCTCCATGAATTTTGGTGAGAATTCCACAGTCATTTGAATTGGTGTGCCATGTATGTAATATGTCATTTGTATCTTTATTCTCTGAAGATTTTGTCTTTGGTCTTCAACACTTTCTTTATGATGTATTTGGGTGACATTTTGGGAAGCTTTTCATTTTGGGTGAGGTTTTCTTTGAGTTGATCCTAAAAAATAATCTCATCAGAGTTCCATATTCAAAGCCTTTGGTCTCCTGTTTAAAGTCAGTTACATGCATAGCAGTTTAGGGATTGTCCAACACTGTATACTCAACTTTTGGAATCTGTTGATTTTTTTGCAATGGATTTTTTTAAAGTTTTCTAAACTAGTGATTCTCAAATTTTAGTGTGTACAAGAATAATGTGGAAATCTTGGTAAAATTTAGATTTTGATTAAATAGGTCCAGGGGTCAATAGTGGGATTCTGTATTTCTATGAATAGAAATACAGAATTTAGATTTTGATTAAATAGGACCAGGAGTCAATACTGGGATTCTGTATCTCTATGTGTCACACTCTGAGTAGAAAAGCTCTAAGTTACTGGTATAAACCTGAACAATATGTCTCACCCATTTTTTCTTAACATAGTTGAAGAAAGTATAATGTCAATATTTCTTGATTTTTATTTAGTATCATCAGGAATTTATCTGATTCCAAAAAGTAAATTTTTCAGATGTCAGTCTCCCTTTAAGCTTTAACATGCCTCACTTTGACCATTTTTTATGAAAAGCTTCCCAAAATGTCTTATATTCGTTATTGAGTATTTTTTAATATTCTGAACTTAAAAACCTTTCCAGTAATTACATGTCATCATTATGAGCATCTGTTATTGCACCTGCTGTCATGTAAATGTGCACACATGATGACTGAGATGTTCGATGCTGTTTGTTCAAAATGGTGAAAGATTGGTTGCTTGTTGAGTTTTATGCTTGCTATGTATATATGCAAGCATTTTATTTCCTTTTCTTGGTCTATTTCTTCTTAATTGTCTCTTCTTTTTATGGAATGTATTTCCCTGAACATTTAAATATGCTTCTTTATATCTGTGGGCCAGAAGCTCACATACTATGTTAGAATTGGAAATAAGTAAAAGCAATTAGGGCAAAATGCTTTGCATTTTTTTATGGAAAGAACATGTCATGTAATGCTCAGATTTTCTGACCGATTATTTGTTAATTCAACTTTCTACTTTTACCTTAATGTTAAGATGGTTTTGATTATGCTAGATACATCCTATGTTGTTATAGATTCCATCATAAAATTTCTCCCTAGGAAGAAATAGGAAAATATTAATCTTCTGCCCTTTCATTTAGGATAGTATCTGCACTATAAAATAGGAAAATAAGATGCAAGGATTTCTAAACTCAGTTCTCAAAATCTCCAATTTTTGAATAATTATTTGTTTGCTTTTCAAGTATATAGCCATTTCTAATATTGTTGGATAAAAACATTTTTTACAGGAAATGTAAGTTTTAGATTATCTATGCCTATTTCCAACTGTACACAAATTTTGAGATTTTTTTTTATTTGTGCAAACATAGAGAACATGATGTTTAGCTCAGCCACTTTGTTTTATGTCTGCCAGCAATGCTATTCTTGAGGGAATGCAGAAGCCTCCATATGCACATAAAAATAGCTTATAAAAATCTGTCTTATAAAGAAAAAGAGAGATTTCCACAGAAGAATTAGTTTAATTTTTTATTAACTGCTTTGGTTCGAAATATAGAAGATAATTTAACTTTAGTAAGCTAAGAACTTAAAACTGGATCGTAGTCATGTTGATTTCTGATTTTGGTGAGATAAAGATTTGTGCAAAGTACATTTAATTAATAGACAAAACTGACCCAAACCAAAAACATACTGCTCTTGGTCCAAATTCACCTTTTTTTATTTTATTTATTTTTTATTTTTTATTTTTTTAAGCAGGGTCTCAATCTGTCACCCAAGCTGGAGTGCGGTGGTATGATTTTGGCTCTTCCAAGGGCCAAACTACTTCCTGGGCTGAAGCAATCATCCCATCTCGGCTTCCCTAGTAGCTGGGATCACAAGTGTGCGCCACCATGCGCTGCTAATTTTTTCTTTTCTTTCTTTCTTTTTTTTTTTTTTTTTTTTTTTTCTGTAGACACAGGGTTTTGCCATGTTGCCCATGGTGGTCTCCAACCCTTGGGCTCCAGCAATCTGCACGCCTCGGCCTCCTAAAGTGCTGGGATTACAGGCGTGAGCCACCGTGCCTGGCCCAAATTCACTCTTAATTATATATATTAAATATAGATGCATTCTCTTCTCTTTGAAAATTGCAGAATTTTTGTTTCCTTGAGGAAAAGTAAAGTGGTTATTTGTGACATATGGCATGTCCCAGAAAACGTTTCTTCAGCAGTAATCACAGCTTCTAGCTGATGCAGCAGTTTTTTCCCCTCCTCGAATAGGAGACAATGTTTCATCTCTCTTTTCTGGAAGTTTTCTCATAATTCACGCATATATAAAGCTGACATTTGTTCACACAATTGCTCTTTGCTCTGTTATTCAAGGAAAATTGCTGATGGAGAGATTATCCTTTTATATATGATTGAGTGACTCTCTCTCCTGATATTTTTGTTTAACTATTTTTAACAGATGCCTATGGAAAAAAATATTGGTTTGGGAACGAGATAAAATTGAGTTTAAACCCCAGATTTTCCACTTGCCAGATGTCTGTCCTTGGAGCAAGTTGTTTATTTCCACCTATATATTCAGATAATACCATCTACTTCATAGAATTATACTAAGTTTTAAATGATATAATGCATATGAAGAATATAAGTACAGCGGTCATTCAGGAAAGGCTACTTATTATCATTAATGTTACCAGATTTCAGCTCTTTTCAGGCAAATCATTGTTCACGCTTTAACATTTATGAAAATGGAAAGGCCAATTGTGTTTACGATCAGTGGTGGTCAGGTGGCAGCCATGACTTAGCTGTCATCACCTGTGCATGTTGTAATCTTGTTGCATGACCGTTTCTAACTGTAATCTCTTGTATGTCAGTCTACAAACCACTTGAGGAAGAATCCTAATGACCATTTGAGGAAGAATTGTAAATCTTAGTCATTGTAAAAAGACCTTCCATTGATTTTTCTATAAGATAAAGTGCCAGTTTCAAAATGTTCAGAATGTGTGTCAATAGCTTAAAAGAAAGTCCTTGAGACAAAAGTTGGGGCTCTATTTGGGCACAGCTGAATCACCACTGTCCTTACTAGCATAGAGGGCAATGGAGTGGGCAAAACCAGACAGCAGTCACTGCATGGAGAGTGACTTGGATCTGGACTCTGTGTTTCAGAAATATTATATTTTGTTTATATTTTTAATTTAAAATATGCATAAGCATTATATAAAATAAAATTTATTTAAATAAGTCTAAAAGACATGTAATGCATTTTGAATGAGTTAAAAATAATTATTCTAGTCAATGGTCACAATTTAGCTGACAGTGATTTTCTTCTTTCTTGGTAGCACATAAAACAAAGGAGTATCTAACAATTGATGTCTCAAATCAGATGAAATAGTATATTATTCACGACAAGACTTACAAGGAATCATATTTATCAAAGTACATAGCAAGAAGAAACATTATCACCTATAATTTCAAAAAAGGATTGCTTTTGTTGGCCATGAGACGGGTCATTTTAAAGTTCAAAATCAAAAGGAGAGGAAGTAGGTGGGAGAGTGATGAAGGGAAGAAGGAAGGAGAAAAGATCCCTGCAAATGGTAATGATTTTCAGCAGAATGACTCTGCGTTACCTGAACAAGACTCAAATTGGTCATGCCTAAATCATGATTTGGAAGTGAACATTAATGACCGAAATGTGTGTTTGCAGAGTGGGAGGGTGGAAGTATTAATTCTAGTCTACTGTGTCTTTAAAAAAATTATATATTTTATTATACCTTAGTGGAGTCTCACTTTACACACTACACTTGCTAATTAGAGGTAGTCGTTGAAGAGGCTAATGATTATCAGACTTAAATGGTGGAAGTTCGATTCTGTTATAGAAAACGTTTTTCTTTCAATAAAAGTCTTTCCTCAAATAAGATTATTTTAATTAGCTGAATTATAACAATTCCTAGAAGTTATGATGACACAATACTTCCTTAACAGAAATCTTTTAATTTTTAATTTCATTGTCTTTACATGGATTAAATTACAGCAGATTTCCAGGGCATTTCGTATGTTATAATGAGGCTGATAGAAGAAAATTTAAAATAAATGGTAGATTTAAAAAATCTATTTTCTAATTTAAATTATTCGGAAATATTTATTTGAACCAAATAAAGTAGAATGGATTTTGTTCATTTGGCTTCTACTTTACTCAGTAATCAGATTTTTTTTTTGGTCAATGTATATTATATTAATAAAGCCAAAATTATTTGGCAAGAACTGACATATTCAACTTTTACCTGGTCAGGAATTTTAAAAGGGAAAATTATATGCCACAAGATGTCACTGTAATCTTTAAAAACTGATAAGGGTAGTAACCACTTTTATTTCAACATTTAAAGAAGTTGGGTGAAAAAAAATCCTCACGACAGACACAAAAGCAGATGGTAATATTAGTCTATCCAGATGTACACAAGCGATAAAAAATGCTCCTTAGAATGAGCCTCTTGCATTCAGTGGCAACTTTTAGAGAACAGAGTATGAATCTTTCACTTTTTTTGATGTAAATAATCTTCATTTTCATGGCACAGTGCTATCTGGCCTATTTCTGATTAAGATTCGAAATGGAATAATAATTTTGACTCATTGGAGATAAAAACTCAAGGATAAAGAACCAGTTCTTTATAAACATTCTATAATGTCTTTGATGAACACGGAAGATTCCATTGCCAGCCAGAAGGGAGATAAAATTGCGAGGAAAACAAAACACAGCTTGGGCTATCAAATAAAAAAAAAAAAGAGGAAGGAGAAGAAAAAAATTATCTCTTGGTAATATACTCTGTGACACACATTGTAAACAGACTAACTGTGTTTTCTTTGTTTTTTTTTTTTGTTTTTTTTTTTTTTGAGACAGAATCTCGCTCTGTTGCCCAGGCTGGAGTGCAGTGGCACAATCTCAGCTCACTGCAAACTCCGCCTCCTGGGTTCAAGCGATTCTCCTGCCTCAGCCTCCCGAGTAGCTGGGATAACAAGCGCCTGCCACCACGCCCCACTAATTTTTGTATTTTTTAGTAGAGATGGGATTTCACCGTGTTGGCCAGGCTGGTCTTCAACTCCTGACCTCAAGTGATCGTCCCGTCTTGGCCTCCCAAAATGCTGGGATTACAGGCGTGAGCCACCAAGCCCTGCCCAGACTAAATGTCCTTGTTAACGTCCCTGTTGAAAGTCTTCTGATTCACATCTTATAGTCAAAGCACACAGATTAAAGGAGAATCTATAAACCTCTGTTTTGACTACAGTGACAAACTGGTGGGAAAAGTGAGTTTATTTGGTTCTTCCAAGATCACTTGTACCACTATTAGAAGAGATAATAGCATACCATTTATTAAAGCTCTTCTATGTCTTTGAACATGTAAAATAATGTTATATTCACAATGTTCCTGGGTTTTAGTTACAAGGGGCTAAGTGGTTGGCATACACTGATTTGGAGGAAACTTTCTTTTTTTTAAGTTTTGCCTCATTTTTCAAATAGAAAGGGCTTAGTGAAACATTTCCAAAAGCAAATATTTTTGACTATGTACTTGAGAGCCTTTGCCACTAGTAACTTTAATGATCACTTTTCCTTTTACTGGACTTTTCCCCATACTTACTCACTTGACTATTACTAATTTGTCATGCACTAGAAATACATGGATTAAATACAGATCTACCTGCCTCCAGGAGTTCTTAGAATCTAGCTGAAGGAGGCAACTGTATTAGCAGATAATGTTAGGAGAGAAGCTAGTATTGGGTGTAGCCAGGACATCGAAATAGTGAGTTAACTCAGGAGGCTGGTTAAGGAGGTCTAATTCTATACAAATCCCAAGTAGGAGACAATAAAAATCTTCAGGCAATTATGTTTTTTCATTTGTTATGCTCATTTATTTCCCTCCTTACTGGAGGAAAACCTGTCAAAACACATGATTTCAGTTTTCTTTTCAGTTTGACAAGTTTACTTAATAAGACCAACCATTTCTAATTTGCACAACATTGCTAAAAAGAAAGAAATGTAAGAAATTGCTTACTTGAAGATAAAAACATTTCTAAAGAGATGTTTTCTAAAGTAATACTCATGTGGCTGCATAATTATATTGAATTCCACACTTGTTTGCTTCTGACATAGCTTTTTGCAAAAAGAAGCTTATGTATTGATCTACTAGTCTGTAACAAAGGAAAAGGTTTAATAAAAATCACTTTAATGGACAACAAAGATGCAGCAAAGCCTGTGAGCCTACCTTAGAGGCTAGAAGTTCTGTCCACATTAGTAGAGCATTATTAGGTCCCCAAAACCTAGTCTCTGAAGTTAGGAAAATGATTTCTCACCTCTGGTGAGTCATATCTCTGCCTGCCTGTGGGAAATCCCAGTATAAGCATAAAAGGTAGACTCCTTGGCCCTGACTTTCAGGCCTGGGTAAAGGCAATTTCTCCAGGTCTGGAACAGAAAAAATTTTTAAGGTTGAACGTGGATATTACTCCAGCATGACAGAATTCCTGAGCAGTAGATTTACACCATGCACAGATGTATAAACTGTTTTGGAGTGCTGACATGGCTAGAGATAGGAATAAGCTTACAGGCCTTAGGCTCCCCTAACCTCAGAGTTCTCACTCCGTGAATGCTACCAGGCCAGTAAACTTGGCAACCTCTATAAGACAGGCAAAGGAATCCTGCATCCACCCACCCACATCAGGTCTCGTTTATGCCCTTTGCACTGCTTCTTTGCTGTTTGGGAAATAAACGCAAGTACTGGCATCTTAAATTATGTCCAAATCACTTCCACACTTACCCTGCAACTCTGATCAGCTTCTTTACTCTGGTTTTGCACCTGCTATAGCTTTCTCTTTAAGTAAAAATTCCAGACTGTTCAAACAACATATTTTCTTCAGATAACTTTATTTCTTTAATTTAAAAATAATTAGTTTTTAAATAAAAAGGAACTTGACAGTTTATAGAATGAGGAAAAATAAGAGTAGACCTTTGGCAAATAAAAAAAAAAGCTAACATTCCACCACCAGGTCCCTTTTCACTGGGCACACAGTGGTTACATGTCCTATCTTGCCTTGCTGTTGGATGCAGCCAAGGAACCAAAGTCTAGCCAAAGGTATGTGAGCAGATATATATATGTCACTTCTCTGTCCTCCAGTTCTTTCTCTCCCATCATCTGCTGGCTGAGTGCAGCATGTCCAGAGAGACGCCTGGGCCCTAGGATTTGGAAGAACCCCAAGAGGGCAGGAGCCTGGCTCCGAGTTGCCACTTGTAGGAGAAATGCCCAGAAGAGCCATGGAACCAGGAATACCTAGTTGGCCTGCGCATTAGCAAAACCTACAGCTGGTACAGTTAAGCCACTAAATTTGAGTCTGTTTGTTTATTATGTCAGTTAGCCTATTTTGACCTTTCCAAGCATGCATGTAACTAATTTATTCTCATAAGCATGGTTTATACCTTTTCACTTTTTTCTATTTTTCTTTTCCTTTACCTTTTACCAAATAGTATACTATGTAATATACTTTCCCAAGATAGCAATGTGGTCTCCAATCAGTAATACAAATTTATTTTATTTTATTATTTTTTTTGAGATAAGGTCTTACTTTGTTGACCAGGCTGGAGTACAGTCGTGTGATCATGGATCACTGCAGCCTCCAACTTTTGGGCTCAAGGGATCCTCCCACCTCAGTCTTCTGAGTATCTGGGTCTACAGGCACATGCCACCACACCCAGCTAATTATTTTTTAGTAGAGACAGGGTCCCACTACGTTGCCCAGGCTGTTCTCAAACTTCTGGGCTCAAGCCAACCTCCCACCTCGACCTTCCAAAGTGTTAGAATTACAGGCATGAGCCACTGCACCTGGTCCAAATTTACTTTAAATTAATGCTTGATCTTTATGAGGTTGCTCTCACTAAACATTGTTGAATAATGAAGAGTAAGTTCTAAGAAGGATTTTCAAGCCCTGGCATCTCAAGTAGCCCCTTGAGTAGCCCCCAGAGGTCAACTGGCAGGTATTGATTAGGTTTTTTACCACCTCTCTGTTTCTGACTCTGAAAACCAAACATTTGAAACAACCTTTTGTTTCCTGGAGAAGTCTGCCCCATGATTTTGCATGTTTTGCCTAATTGCCTCTCTTTGAGGAGCTCTGAACTGCAGTGAAGAAGAGACCTGACGGAGGTGAGGCTGCTAAAGATATTGAGGACACACAACTTTATCATGTCCTCCCAGGTCTGAGCTACTAAGAAAAGTAACTAGGCTTATTAATAGGATAGACTATCAATGAATGTGTACTTATTCATTAATTTATTCGCCACTTATTGAGTACCCACCGGGATCTGTGAAGGCATAGGAAAGCAAGTGAGCCTAAGTCAAGTCTCTACCTTGAGAGAATTTACACTCTAGTGGAAGGGGATGGGAGGGGAGGGAGAGACAGATGTGTCTGTAGGCAGCTAGGATCTTAATGCAAGTTGTGTGATGGAGGGATGCTAAAGGCGGGTATTTGTCAAAATTAATTGAGCTGTGCAAATTGAGGGTTTGTGCATCTTATTGTATGCAATATAATACATTTTTAAAGTACTGTTTAAAAAGAAACCCATTAAACTTGTTTTTTTAAAATAGCATTTATTAGCCAGGTGCAGTGAGTGGTATATGCCTATAGTCCCAGCTATTTGGAAGCCTTAGGTGATAGATCACTTGAGTCCAGGAGTTCAAGTTCAATCTGGGCAACATAACGAGACCCTTTCTCTAAAACAAACAACAACAACAAAAATAGCATTTGTTAATAGCCTTCCTCTTCTTCTGTCACAGGAAACACTTTTCTTTTTCATACTCCATTTATTTAAATATTTGTACCTGTTATTTCTGATTTTTAGTTTAGGCCTTTATTTTCTTTTGGAAAATCAAGATGTTTACAGATTCCTTATAAACTAACCTACTTTTAGGGTATTTTTGGCATTCTTATTCCACAAGCATAACACAAATTAAAATAGCGCTAAAATACTTTGAAAATATAAAGCAACATGGAAGTTCTAAATTATATCAGTACAGGTGAGGGAAGAATTGCAGACAAATTTAACAGTTTTGTGTACATTTTTCCTCCTGGGAAACAAGCTGAGTTCAAGTTATTCATTCTAAGAACTTAGTTCTGAAAATAAGTTTCAAAATCAAGCAGAACAGATAAAACTCCAAAACCCAAAATGTCAAACAAAACCAAAGTAACAAAAGCAACAGTCTAAAACACACTACCTACTCCAAATACTATAATGGCAATGATGAAAATAGAACAATTTTAAATAAAAGTATAGAAAACTAACAAGCCATCAAATGTGATCTTTGAAATAAACATTTGGAAGTGGTTTTCAAAAAGAAATAGTTCCAATTTTTAAGTATCAGAATTCTGACACACTCCGCAAATACTTAATATGATTTGGCTGTGTCGTGACTCAAAATCTCGTTTTGAATTGTAATCCACATTACCCATAATCCCCATGTGTCAAGGGTGGGACCAGGTGGAGGTAATTGGGTCATAATCCCCATGTGTCAAGCGTGGGACCAGGTGGAGGTGATTGGATCGTGGGGCAGTTTTCTCCATGCTTTTCTTGTGAGAGTGCATGTCTCACAGGATCTGATGGTTTCATAGGCGTCTGGCATTTCCCCTGCTTGCAATCACTCCGTCCTGCCACCCTGCAAAATAGATGCCTTGCTTCCCCTTTGCCTTCTGCCATGATTATAAGTTTCCTGAGGCCTCCTCAGCCATGCTGGACTGTGAGTCAATTAAGCCTTTTTCCTTTATAAATTACCCAGTCTTGGGTACTTCTTTATAGCGGCATGAGAACGGACTAATACAATTCTATGAGTAACATATGCAGTAGTAATTTATCTGGTGTTATGACTGTCTATAAGACGTTCCTTAACAGTCTTAAAAGTGGGAAGAAATATAAGCAATGATTCCTTTAGCAGTGACTGTTCAGTTTCAGCCCTGACAAAGATAACTTTTTATTGACTATGTTAAAGAAAGAATGGCTGAATAATCATTGTTAGTAATTGGCATAAGTCCCAGGTATAGCAATATAAACGCTACAGAAGCTTAACCTGTGCACATCTCAGGAACAGAATAGCTATCTCAGTGCACAGTATTTATACTTCTGACTAGCCCCTAGAGACCTCCTAGCATGTCTAATTTATTCTAAGGCAATACAGGTACAATTGCTTTCTGCTAGAAGTACCTCCTCATTCCACAAATAATCATTTGTTTGCCCTTAATGAGAACCTAGTTCAACCTTCTATTTCATAATTGAGGAAAACAAGACCCAAAGAGATGTAGCTCTGGCCCAACATAACCATCGTCTCCACTTAAAAATGAGGAAACTGAAGCTCAAAGCAGTTTTATGTTGTGCTCAGGGTCACACAGCTAAAATTTAAGTCCTGGCACTTCTTCAGAGCCACTGTTCTTAATCACTACACTAAACTGCATGTTAGTTGTGGTGCCATAGAACACAAAGCTTGGTACTACCAACATTGTCAGCACAGTTATTATTCAGTAATGTCAGCACATTACTTTTAATGGCAAAACCCGCAGGTACTTTTGCACCAAACTGCTACAATTAATTTGTCATATTTTAGGCACTCAAAAATATTGCTGAGCAAATCACTGAATGAAAACTAAATGCATGGAACATAAGCCTTAAAAATTGATCGGTAAACAATTTTCACCAGCACATTTAAAAGAATGACTCCAACCATACAGTAGTTAGACATCAGTTTCACTTCCTTTCCAAATTACCTCACTATATAAATCACTTTTTTAACAGGAAATAAAACATGACAGTTAAGAGGGGAAATGTACATTACCTACAAAAAGGTTTTAGCTTGAAAACAGAAAATGGCTGAATTACATAGGTGTGTATATTGAAAAAATCAGAATAAGTATAAACAGAAAATAACAAACGATAAACAAAAACTATAACATTTTAAAAGAATCAATATATGTCAACTTTTTGAAATTTCTAGTAAAAGGATGATATATATGATCTGTATATACACATATGTTGCATATATATTTCCCTAAATGAGGGTTGATTTATAAGCCATTATGTTGCTATCTGGTTCTTCTTCATTAAAGTCTTAATGCCATCTAGTAGGTATTGAGTAAAGGGGTCAGCAAGGCAGACAAGAATCTATTATGATTTACCAAAACCAAGTCTCAGATTTTCTAGGATAACACCCATTTAAAGAATGTAATCTGCCCAGAATTTTCATTATAAAACACTCTGAAATTTCATTATACAACATTCTGAAATGTCCACATTTGACACCAACATGCCCTCTCCCAGACTTTCTCTCAAAGGCAAAAATCAATACATTCAACATCAATTTATTCCACAAATATTTACTGGCTGTCTATTATTTGCTAGACTCCTGGGATAGAGGGATGAGCATGAGTCCCAAATTTGGGTTCAAAAAAATAAGTAACCTTATGTCAACTTAATGGTGAATTGCACATTAATAATCAGTTGACCTTTAAACAAGGCTAAAACTGTCTCTTTTTGCTAGATATGTGATTACCTAGGAAACTTCCATTACAAACAGGTAACAATAGGTTTTTGTTTTTTCTTTTAAATTCTTTTTAGTCTTTTATACAGTAAAGGGTTTTTAAAAATGGGAGACAAAAGAATTTTAAGTTATGAGTTATAAACAGAGTTTATGTCTATATAAAAAGAACTTATCAGTGAATATTTGCATTTTAATGGCAAAATCAGATAATTCCTATAAGCTACTGCAGTCAAATATATTATTGGAATCCCTTCATTTAATATTTTTTCATCACCAACCCAATAATGTTTGTAATTTTTTAAAAGTAATATTGACTCACTGTATAAAATATGAACTAAATGTCCATCAAAGCAGAGATGAATGAATAAATTATCATAGATTTGCACAATAGAACACTGTGTTAGTGAAAAAGAGTAAACTGAAGTTTCAGGGATTAGTATACATTAAATCTCAAAAACAGTATTGAGCAAAAAAATATATATATAGGTTTTAAAAATACTTTTACTATCTATACATTATTTCTGTCTTAGTTGGTGCTGCCATAACAAAGTACCATAGATTAGGTGGTGTGTGTCTATCTATCTATTTATCTGTCTATCTATCATCTAGCTATCTCTCTAGTGCGTGTGATACTATTTTTATAAAAGTACTTTTATGGACTGTTTGTGTTCCTCTGCCCACTCATATGTTTAAATCTTAACTCCGAGTGTGATGATATTAAAAGGTGGGGCCTTTGGGAGGTGATTAGGTCATGAAGAGGGAACCCTCATTAATTGGATTAATGCTCTTATAAAAGGAGCCCCAGAGAGCTTACTTTCTTTCTACCACATGAAGATACAACAAAAATATGGAAGTCTGCAACCTGGAAGAGGGCCTTCACCAGAAGCGACTATTCTTATCTTGGACTTCTAGCCTCCCAAACTGTGAGAAATAAATTCTTGCTGTTTATAAGCCACCTAATCTATGGTACTTTGTTATGGCAGCCCCAAATGACTAAGATAGAAGTAATGTATAGATAGTAAAAGTATTTTTTAAACTGTGTGGATTGATTTAAAAAAAAAATCCAGGAGAGTGAAGATGGAGAAAAAAGACTAGAAATGGAATCAAGAAAGGGTATTCAAGGGAGATGTCAAATGTGTCTATCTTGCAGTCCAACAACTATCTCCAGGCAGAAAGTACAGGTGATTCTAGTATTCACCTGCTTTGTTTGCCTTTTCTAAAGAATCACAGTACTAACCATCTTAGTCCAATGTCAGAAAATGATTGTTTCCCATAATTTAACATTTTTTAAGCTAAGAAAGTAATGACTAATTCTCTTACTTCCTTATGAAGTGCAAATCTTACTGTACTCTTTGAATTTTGAAAAATAACCAATGAAAAAGGAAAAAGAAAAAATCTTGAAATTAACATAGTAAATGTTGTTGATATTGGGCACTGTTGAGTTTTCCATTCTGGGATATTTCTCATATTATACTTTATAAGTTTCTGTATTCATGCATTATTTCATAATTTTAAAAGTAAATTTTTAAAAGTAGAAATGAGAAAAAAATTCAAAATTCTGAAAAGCCAAAAGGAGAAAAAAATTATCATTATTTTGCTGCTCAGAAATAACCACTTTTATCTTTTTTTGTGTATTTTACAGTTACATGGGGAAAATGAGATGATACTTCCTCTTACCATATTTAAAAATTGTATTCTAAAAATATTTTCATAATATTAACCATTTATCTTCACATATTTCCCAAATGAAATTTCATTGTACATCAGTAACATGTTTTATTCAATCAATCCTTCTTTCCTAGAATTTCTGGAAATATAATCTATAAAGTAAACTTTCTGGGTCAAAAACCTTATATAGTTTTTTAGGTTTAAAGTATGTTTTGAAATTGCTAAATTTCAAATAACATAATCCAAAAAGATTATATTAAATTCTACCAGCAGAATATGAGAGACCCCGTGCTTCAGAGTAGCATTTATTATTTTAAAAAATCTTTGCTAGTTATATGTAATAGATTTTACTCGTTTCATTTTTGGAAATTTCTCTTTCATGCCTTCCCCTGTATCTTAACTAGCTCTTTATCTTTTTTCCCTATAGTTCTTTAAGATTTTTATATTAAGTATATCAGCCTTTTCTTATGTATTGTGAAAATTTCTTCTGCGTTCTGGTTTGCCTTTAAATTTAGTTTAGGATGTTTTTAATGTCCTGAATTAAAAAAAAAATCTGTCAATATTTTTCTTTATGTTTTCTGCTGAATATGTACAATCACTTATACATTCTTTAGCATTTCTGTTTCATTTTGCATTTGGATATTCAGCCCATATGGAGTTTATTTTAGAATATTTGGACATATGGTTCTAGAAATCAAATTCCATTTTTATTATGAATTATTACAAATAGTTGATCGGCTGTTTCAAAGGCATTTATTGAATAATCCAGAGAGCCTATTACATTAAATTTTTTTCAATATTTAACTTTAAAAATATTTAAGACTGACATATGATAATTGTATATATTTATGAGGTATAACATGTTTCTGTACATGTATTCATTGTGTAATAATCAAAACAGGGTAATTAGCATACCTATCATCTTAAACATTTATTATTTCTTTGTCACGAGAACATTATAAAACCTCTCTTCTAGGTTGGGCACAGTGGCTCATGCCTGTAACTCCAGCACTTTGGGAGGTCAAGGCAGGGTCACATGAGGCCAGGAGTTCAAGACCAGCAGGCAAGGAGTTTGAGACCAGTCTGGTCAACAAAGTAAGACCTTGTCTCTAAAAAAAAAAAAAAAAAAAAAAGCCTGGGTTGGGCATGGTGGCACATGCTTGTAGTCCCTGTTACTGCTACTCCAGAGGCAGAGGCAGAGGCAGAGGCAGGAGGATTGCTTGAGCCCAGGAGTTCAAGGTTGCAGTGAGCTATGATCACACCACTGCACTCCAGCCTGGACAACAGAGCGAGATCCTGTCTCCCAAAAAACAAGCAAGCAAAACAAACATACAAAAACAAAACTTCTCGTAACTATTTTGAAATATACAATCTGTTATTATTAACTGTAAGTCATTCTACTATTCAATAAAAAAACAGAACTTATTTCGATCTAACTGAGGCTTTATACCCTCTGACCAGTTTTTCACCATCTCCCCTCTCCTAACCCTCCACATCCTCTGGTAACCACTATTCTACACTCTCTACTTTATGAGAACAACTTTTTATATTCACTTGTGAATGTGATCATATGGTATTTGCTTGGCTTATTTTACTCTACTTAATATCCCCCAGGTTTATCCACGCTGCCACAAATGACAGGATCTCATTCTTTTTTGTGGCTGAATAGTATTCCATTTTGTATTATGCCACACGTTCTTTCTTCATCTGTTGATAAATATTTAGGTTGGCTACTGTGAATAGTGCTGCAATAAACAGAGGCAGATATCCCTTGAATGTACATTTCCCCCCCGCCCTTTGTATACATACCCAAAGGAATGCTGGGATAGCCAGATCACATGGTTGTACTATTTTTAATTTTTATAGGAAATAATCATACTTTTTTTTTCCTTTTTTTTTTTTGAGACAGAGTCTCGCTCTGTCGCCTAGGCTGGAGTGCAGTGGCGTGATCTCGGCTCACTGCAAGCTCCGCCTCCTGGGTCCATGCCATTCTCCTGCCTCAGCCTCCCAAGTAGCTGGGACTACAGGCGCCCACCACCATGCCCGGCTAATTTTTTTTTTGTATTTTTAGTAGAGATGGGGTTTCACCATGTTAGCCAGGATGGTCTCGATCTCCTGACCTCGTGATCCTCCTGTCTCGGCCTCCCAAAGTGCTGGGACCACAGGTGTGAGCCACCACACCCAGCCCATACTGTTTTTTCATAATGGACGTACTAATTTACATTCCCACCAGCAGTGTGTAAGGGTTCTCTTTTTTCCAGAACCTCATCAACACTTGTTATCATTTGAGTTTTTGATAGTAACCATTCTGACTGGAGTGAGGTGGTATCTCATTGTAATTTTGATTTGCATTTTCCTGATGATTAGTGATGTTGAGCATTTTTTCATAGATCTCTTGGCCATTTGCCTGTCTTCTTTTAAGAAATGTATATTCAGGTCTTTTGCTCATTTTTTAATTGGGTTATTTGTTTTTTGTTGTTATACAGTAGTTTTAGTTTCTTATATATTTTGGATATTGTTTATAAATGTTCTATTCTCTTTCCAAACTCAAAAGAATTTATTTTTCCACAAAAATATATTTCTAGTACATTTTAAACAGATTTTAGGAATAAGTTTTCCTAGCATTTACATTGTATTAAAAATTTCAGTGCAATCTAATATGAGCTGTTGATTTTTCTTATTTTTACTGCTCTTAAAAATCCCAGCCTAGTGAAGAAAAGCATTCTGGGACATGATATATTAATTCCTGTCATTTAAAATTGTTTTACTTACAATTCCAGGAATTTGAATTTATAAGCAAAATAATTACATGATACCATGCACAAAGACTTAGCCAATTCTTACTCTTTGCTGGCTAAAATCTTAATAGGAAACCATGAGACTGGAATATATTATTTTTGATTTAAGCTTCTGCATGTTATCATCCAAGTTATTAAAATGTCAGTTTTATGTCTACATGTCTTATTCCTCCTTAGGTCAGTGAAAATGAATAAAAATTCAACATGATCACAACTTATTCTTATCCTCTTGCTCACCTATGTATAATGAGTACTTGCATTTCTTACATTTCCCCTTCTCAAATTACATGAAAAAAACAGTTACTGCCATAGGAGAAAGAATATGTATAATGTATATTTTATTAGATAAGCCTCCTTGAGTCTTAAGATTTGCATCTATTGTATTATTTAATTAATTGAGCTGTAAATATGTATAATGTGAAGCTGATAGAAATTTATGGGTGATTTCATTTAATTTTCCCCAAAGAACATGTTTCAGCCCCTATCTTTTTCAGTCTCTAGAAAATTCAACAGCAACTTCACATTATAGGAATTTTAATATGCACAAACATAGAGAGAATAGTAGGAATGAACTACCATGTGTCCACTACTAAATTTCACTTACAATAATTTTCCACATTTTACTGCTTTTGTCTCAGTAGCCTTTGATACGGTGATATCTCTTTCTTTTTCTTCTGATAACACATTCCCCTTCCTAGTTTGCTTACTACCCTCTGTCTGCTCCTTCATGAGCCCCTTCTCTTGTCTTTAAATTGTCATTTTCCCCTTGAACTCAACCACTGCCATGGGTTTATCTACCATCTTTGGCCAACTCCTAAATTCTCATGTACTGCTCAGATAGCTTTTCTGAGGAATATCAAACTCAATATGACCAAACAAGAACACATTAGCTTTCATATTCTCTTCAACCCAGCTCTGCTTTCAGTATATCAAGAAATGATCTATCACTCAATTTTTTATAGAGATTAGACATATGATCCTTGATGGTCCTGTATTTCACAATAAATCATCAAGTTAGTCAATTTAGTCTTAGTGTCCTTAACCCTTTTAAAATGTGCCTATGTCCTTCCAACTGTATTGTCAAACTCTAGATCAGCATTGTCCAATAAATATAATGCAATCCATACATGAGAGTAGCACATATAATCTTAAAGTTTCCAATAATTACATTTTAAAAAGTGAAAAACAGATAAAATCAAATTTAATAAGATATCTTATTAAGATATCAGCATATCCAAAATATTGTCATTTTAACATGTCATCAATGAAAAAAGTTAGTAATTAGATATTTTACTTTTTTCTTATTAAATCTTTGGAATCTGGTATGTATTTTATACTTAAAGCACAACTTTATTTGGACAGGACACATTTTAAGGACTCAATAGCCACAGGTAGCTAGTGTCTACAATATTGGACAGAGCAGCTCTAGTCCAAGTTGCAACCACCTCTTGTTGTGTCTGTTAATGGGTTTCACACATCCCCACCTGGGCCAGTTTCAATTCATTCTTCCCAGGCAGCTAGAGTAATTTTTTTTTCAATCCCACTGTGCTCTAATGGCTACCAGCTTAAATCTTTCAGTGATTTTTCACTTTTCTCTTTGGCTAAAGTCTGTACATAACCTATAACATCTTTTGTGATCTGACTGCACTTTATCTCTCCAATTTGTATAGCGCACAAGGCTTATTCTCATCTCACAGCTTAAAGCTTAAAATATTTTTGTTCCTATCCATCCTTATTCTTTGCTTAAGTACCACTTAAATGTTTCCTTGAGATCCATTTCCACTCTTCTATCCCAGAGCAGGTTACGATTCCAATTACTTAGTATTACTGCACAGACTGCTTTTTCTTCACAGGAGAAATTATTTGAGTTATTAATTATTTAATGTGGGCCTACCATTCCAGACTACTAGTAACTCTTATTCATCTACACAAAGAACAGTGTTTGATATTAAATAAATATTTACTGAATGTATGAATTTGGTCCTCTCAACATTATTCACATGAGAAAAAGCCAAGGTTACCAAGATAGGCATAGACCAATCATGAGTCATGGGCCTGGGCTAGGCAAGGGACTCTATGTTTGAGCACAAAGCTACCTCATTCTTCCACAAAATTAATGTTGTGTTAGCAAGAAACACGGGGAGGAGGTGGCTATTGTGTAGGCCACTAACACTGTCTACCAGAATTTCCAATTTATCATTGTGATAGACTGCTTATCTACTTTGACTTAAATCAGCCCCAAGAAAAGCAAGGCAGAACCATCTGGAGATACACTTGTGGATGAAGGAGTTTTGTTTTTAAACTATAAAAGTAAAGGAGAGGAAACATTATTAACTAGGATTCACAAACTCTCCTGTACCAACTCATTTGGCTTTCCCAACAATTGTGACAACCTAACTACGTTGGTGTTACTATCATCAGCCATAATTGACAAAGGAGAAATCACAAATCAGAAAGGTTAAGTGATTTTGTCCAAAGGCACTTGGTAATCATATGTTAGGATTTGCAGAAGGACATATGTGTTCTGATTTCCAAATCGAAACTCTTTTCCCTTCACGAGTGGTACTTAAGAGTATCGGCATCACCTGGGAGCTTGTTAGAGAAAAGCAAATTCTCAGGCACCACCTCAGACTTAATAAATTAGACTCTCTGGGAGTTTGCCCAGTAACCTGTGTTTAACAAGCCCTCTAGGTGATTCCTTTGCACACTAAAGCTTGAGAACTGCTGCATTACACACTACTACCCACACTCCTTTCTGCTAAATTGATCACTTTTTTTTTCTGGTTGTTATATGGTTCAGCAGAAAAAGCAAAGTACTGCATTTTGCTGAAGTTCAACTCAGGAGTCCCTTTTGGCCATTTGGGAACATATAAAAAGTCAAATTTGTCTTTGCCTTAACTCTAGATTCAAAGGGCCCTTGAATTTTGGGATCCATGCATTGGGCCCCATTTTCAAGGTTACATTCTTGAATCAAACGAGCAGTGGCCAGTTATTCCTATATACAGCCTGAGTACACAAAGGGAAATAGGGTGAATCTGCAACTCATAGAATTTATTTTTATATACTTAATAATGAGTCATACTGTACTCTCTCCTCTGCCAAAATGAGAGCCCTTTGCTCTCTATTTCTCATACACTTCTGTGATCCGAATGTTTTACCACAAAACCTTCAGTATTTTCTCCTTTCTGAAAAAATAAACAAAAAATTTCAGTAACTAATAAACATCTCTGACAAAGATGCTCTAATTTTAGCATATAATACATTTGTCTTCTTTCAAATTTGATTCTGTCTTTTACTACGTTTTCAGTACTACAGTAATTCTAACCCATAAATAATGGGCCTATCCCTGCATACTGTCTATTTTCCACATTTCTGCCCTCTTCGTGAGAATGAAAGGATTAATAGACCCAAGGTTCATTTCAGGCCCAATTGCAGGCTGATACATCAGCAACGTCTGTCTCTCCCAGTTTTGGGAACCTGGCATTCTCAGTCAGTAACCACCTGGATAACTACAGATTTCTGCTTCTTCTTGGTTTTGTCAGAGTTCTATAGTCACACTTTACTATATTGTTGTCCCCCAGGAGCAAATCTTACATTGGACATATTATTTCCTAATAAAATTTGCTTGTACACAAGGAGAAAGCATTGTGCTGACTTTGAAGTCAGGCCAAATTCTATGGCTGATGACCTGAGCAAGCTGCTTACTTCTCTGTTCAGTTCCCCATCTATAAAATGGGTATAATTCAGTGGTTCTCAAATTCTAGGCTACATTGGCATTATTACCTGGAGGTCGTGTAAAAAGAGAAAGCAGGCCAGGTGCAGTGGCTCATGCCTGTAATCCCAGCACCTAGGGAGGCCGAGGTGGGCAGATCACAAGGTCAGGAGTTCGAGAACAGCCTGGACAATATGGTGAAACCCCGTCTCTACTAAAACTACAAAAATTAGCTGGGCATGGTGGCAGGCGCCTGTAATCCCAGCTACTTGGGAGGCTGAGGCAGGAGAATCGCTTGAACCTGGGAGGCGGTGGCTGCAGTGAGCCAAGATCACGCCACTGCACTCCAGCCTCGGTGACAGAGAGAGACTCTGTCTCAAAAAATAAATAAATAAATAAAAGAAAGCAGACTGCAGGGCCCTCCACAGATTTTCTGATTCAATGGGTCTATGACGTGACCCAATAATTTCATTTCTAAAAAGGTAGCTCAGGTGATGGCAGATGCTGCTTGTTTAGAGACCACACATTGAGACTCACTGGCATAATGTTACTAGGATTAGAAACACTACCTGCAATGTTCCCAATTCCAAGTATCCGCCTAATAACTATTAGTCCTCTGTTTTCCACTTCCATTCCACGTCTCCTAAAAGGAAAGGAAATAGATGACAAAAATAAATTGATGACATTGGATTTAAATGTAATACAAGCTAAATGTAATTATTGTTGGACAAGCCTTTCTGGAAGTAAACCAAAAGAGTATTTCTGAAGAAGTAAATGAAAGGAAATATTTTAGATAAGTGAACATTTAGAAGCTAATGACTAGCACTAGTAAAGGCATCAGGCAAAGGGAAGGCCTATATACTGTTAGCAGAAAAATAAACATATACGTAATTTTGGAGAGCTATTTGGTAGTACCCACCAAAATGTGACCCAGCAATTTCACTTCTAGAACTATATTTTTGAGAAATAAACACAAATAAACAGGGATATAGTGCAACATATTTGCATAGCAGCTCCTAAACTCAAGAATGCAAGAAATGTAATATTTTTTCCATAAGTCAACTTGATTTATATTTCAAGCCCATTGCACCAGGTGGTAAAAATAAATCTCATTTATTTCAGGATTCATTCCCTGATATATTTTCTGCAGTTGCATCTGAAAATCAGGAGGCACATACAGAGCAGAGGGGTGTGTGTGTGTGTATGTGTGTTTGTGTGTGTGTGTGTGTGTGTGTGTGTGTGTGTGTAGAGTATTTGACCTTATGTCTAATCCATTAATGCTGTCATCTGCTGACTTGGCCATCATTCGGTTGGTACTTGACAGATTTTATATACAGATTGCTGCTGCCTCATTGCATGATTTTCTCCTCACAGTCCCATCCTGTCTGCTTCATCCTCATCACCTGCTGCTTCTATTGCCCCCATACTATCGTGGGCTGCCAGATACTATGGGAGGCTGAGACTCTGATTTCTTTGACACCTTCAGATGCTTAGGATTATTCTGCTGTTTCCGTGTCTTGTAAATTCGGAGCTTGTGTGGAACTCTAATCAACTACGTACTTTTTTATTTTAGTCCTATGAATAAAGCAGATCAATAAAGTTCAACTACTAGCTTTGAAAGTGTCACAGGTTTCCATTTTGAACCTTGTGTTACTTTAGTTTTTGTCAGATACTAAAGAAAAGAAAATAACCATTTTGATGGCAAAAAAATCTTGTTTTCAAGACAAGTCCCAGATGTAAGCTACTTCTTAATCAGTGACTCAGTGATTATAACTTAGCAACATGCAAGTCTGTGTTAACTATATATAGCACTATTTTTGTATGCATTAAAATGAGCCTCTGATGGTCAAAATAGTTTTTTTTAATTTTCAAAATGATAGCAGCTGTTTATCCTTAATTTTGAGAATAATTTGGGGAGCTGTGTACTTTACTTTTTGCCCAAAAAACAGAAATGACTTCATTGTTTAGATACAGGAAGAAATATGTTAAATCATCTAACCAATGCTGCTTGGAATAGGCTTCTTTAAAACATATTTGGATTGTGTAACTGTTCTGAACTAAACTTGGCTTGCTAAGCTCTGGATATTATATAACCTCAGAGAAAATACAAAAATAAGAAATAAAGATAGAATTAAACAAAAGACAATGAGGTTGAGGCATTTCAGTGTTCATTTTTTAGGAACCCTTAATGTACCAGGTGTTGTGAATGCAAAGGTAGATGGGGCACAGCTCCTGTTGTTGAGATCTCCAGGGAGGTGGGGAGATAATCAAATAATAGTGACAACAGTAAACACAAAGTACAGAGCCAGAGAGCATTTATTCTACCTGAAGAAAGGCTTCGTGGTGGAGGTAACATTTAATCTGTGGTGAAAGAGGAAAGGAAGCATATTCAAGAGTCAAGGACAGAATTTACCAAGAGATCCTATTCATTAGACTATAAGCTTGGTGATAGGAGGAAGAATGTCTGATTCACCTTTTATGCATTTAATGCCTAGAAGAATGCCTGATACATAAGATGTAAGAAATATGTATTTGCTGAATGAGTGGAAGCATGATTTCAGGCAAAGGTGGGTGGTTCAAGGTTATTCTATCTGATGAAACACAGAAAGAGTGGGATTAACAGATGAGAAAAGCTAGAAAGGTATGTAAGGACCAAATGCCATGGCTATTACCTTCTGAGAAGTTAGGGTTTTGTCTTGCAGACAATGGCATGCCATTAATAGCATTTCAGTAGGGCAGAGACCCAGGTGAGGATTTAGTAAAATGTTGAGTGGATCTTTCCAAGTGCTTGGAACTAGGGTTTATAGGTAAGGACCAATGATAAGTACCTCATATTATGAAGAAAACACTCAATTATCATGTCATAGTCTTTACCTTCACTTCCTCTGTACTCCCCCTGCCGCCCCCAACACACACACACACACGCACACATGCACACACACAGCTCTGTGGAAGTATGGCATTCTTGGTGAGGTGAAGTATTCCTTCATTTAGCCAGGACGCCTGAACAACCCTGCAGCCTCTGCTCCCTAGTCTCAATACCCCTTCACGGGGAGCCATGGGAGTCAAAGTGGTCCTCTTCTTTTTTCCCTGAGGGCCACAGGACTTGGTGTGATGATTCCTCTCCCTCCCTTTGGCTTTTATTCACAGGCAAATTACTGAACTGTTATAGCAAAACTGTTATAGCAAACCACCTGCCTTCATACATTCCTAGACTAGAAAAAAGGACCAGTCTCCAAGTTCCAGTTCAATAGCCACCTACAAGGTACACACATCAAGCATTCCCAATGATTCTCTCATCACACTCTCCACTGCAATTTCATGCAGTGTGGTCCCGAGACTTTGCAGCTGATCAAGCATTCAGCCAGGGATGGAACCAAAATGCATAGCTTCACCTCTTGCAGGGATCCTCAAGCTCTTGTTCCTGATCCCTAACCTTCAGGCCTCATCACTGGGCATGGTGGTGGACAGAATGTGAACACAGACAGGTGAGCAGGAAAGCCTCTCTCCACAAACATTGTCCACAAAAGTTATTGTTTTGTTGAATTTGGGATTGTAGACGGAATAGCTCCTTACCTCTTAGTTTAGAGAGTTGGTAACCAAATCGCTGGCTGCTCGCTTTGGAATGTGGAGCCAATGGGCACTTCTTGTCCTCATCTAGAGATCCGAGAAGCCAACTTCAGGGCAACAGAAAAACTTTCTCAATATTCAGTATTGGTTTCCAATAGAGATAGAATGTGAGCCACATTATGCAATTCCAATTTTTTTAGTAGCCACATTAAATAAGGTAAAATGAAACATGCAGAATTAATTTTAAAATATGCTTCAACCCAATGTAGCCAATTATATTTTAAGTAGTGATCAATATAAACATTATAAATAAGATAGTTGCATTCTTTTTTGACACTAAGTCTTCAAAATCTAGTGCATATTCTATACTTACAGCACATCTCAATTTGGACTAGCCTCATTTTAAGGGCCTAATAGATTTTTTTTGGACAATACAGATGTAGATTAACTTGTGACCAAAGCTAGCAATGGTTCCTTATTGATCACAGGGTAAATTCAAATTCCTATTACAAATATATTTGTTTTTAGGGAGCTGTCTTCAAGGGTAGTGGGGAGGTCACCTGACGCAGGTCTCTTCTCACCATAGAAGACCACCCTATTTAACATGGCCTTAATTTCTAATTGATTATTTAGAAACTTAATTGTTTTTAAAACTCTGAAAGGAATAGTTTTTCCTGACTCAAGTCACTGCCTTAATTAAATACAGCTGAAATTCTAGAGTAACTTTTCTTTGAACTTTGCATCACAGCTTTTAAAAACTGATGGATTTTTTCCTCTTAAAGCACAAATCAAACTTTTCTTCCACAAAGGCAATTCAGTACAGCGCTTTGCAGATCGATGGGTCTACTTCAATGGCCTGGTAACTGAACACAGGCTGGATGTGCCCCATCCGCTCTGTCTCAGATTTATTCCTTCAGACTGAGCAAGAAAGAATCAAGGTAGAAAAGATAGAGTAAAATAGTGGTCATTACTTTTCAAATTTTATTTTTTATTTTTTTGGTTTGGCAAGTTGCCTCATTCCACACAGACTTTATGAGGTGCTTATGTCTTATTTTTTGAAGGTGAGAACTGTGACCTAATCTGTATTCTGTGGGTTACTTAGCACATTGAGAATGCCCAATAAATATTAAACAGGAAGAGTTTATTGAACCACTAAACACCATACACTTCCTGGTTCATCTGTTGTACCAACTTCCAGTGCAGATCCATCATGAATAGATGAGTAGTTGGATAGAATAAGGAGTGAATTTATTTGATAGTTCACTGCCAAAATATTGGTACTTAAATAATATTTCCTTGTCTTCTCCTATGAATCCAAGGAAAATAGTCTCACATTAGTAACAATTCTAAGTTTAAACAAATACATAGTTAGCTCTTTGTCTCTGGAAGTTTTAAAGTGGAGGTTAAAGTCCAGTGGCCCCTATTATCATCAATCCATAAAAATAGAACCCCTAAAATAACCTTCTGGCACCTCAAAATAAAAAAAACTTTAATAATACCAGAATATACAATAGTTAAAATATTAACTCTGAATTATTCAAATTGAATTATAGTCAATACTATTTTAGTGCTAACTAGGTTTTATTTCTTCAAAACTATTCATTTATCAGATTCAATCATTTAAAGAGCAATTGAGTGTAGTACAGAGCACCTACTATGTTCCAGGCATGGTTCTAGGCTCTGGAAAACTGAAAAATTCTAGCTTTAATGGAGCCTACATTCTACTGGAGTATTTATTTCAATAGTTACTCAATCAAAATATTTAAAACATTTAATTTAATCAAATATTTTACTTTAATTCAAGCATTTATTGCTTTTAATTCCATTTCTGTTTGATAGAAAATCTACAAGGTAGGTGTCGGAACTATGGCACCAATCAAGGTCTTTTGGTTATGAAATTTATGTTCTTTTCATAGCAGTGTATTTGTCTTTCAATTCAATTTGTTCAGGGTTGGTTTAGGAAAGCCACAAGATCCCGTCTCACTCTAAGACTTTCTTTTTTCTGATTTTGTAATAAAATGTTCTAATCCAAGGATAACCTCCAGAAAATAGAGACTCAATTCAAAAATGAAGATAATAAGGCTAAAGATAATACTGACGATGTAACTCTTTTCTAAAGGGTTCTACAAGGAAGGTTTATGAAAACCTTGAGAATAAAAATGCAGAATAATCATATCCTTATAGATTGTATCAAGACGACAGAAATTGTATGGTGAGTTGGAACTTTCTATTTTATATTCAAATATATTAACCGTCATTCTTTCAGACTTGCTCTGAAATGTGTTTCTCAGGATAATTAAGAGCTGCTTGTTAGAGGGTAGAAGAGTGGTTATCAGCGGCTGGGGGCAGATGTTGAGGATATATTGGTTAAAGGATAACAAATTTCAGTTAGATAGGAAGAATAGGCATGGAGATTATAGTTAATAACAATATATTGTATTTTTGAAAATTGCTGACAGTAGATTTTAAATGTTCTTACCACAAAAAAGATAAGTATGTAAAGTAATGCCTATGTTAATGAGCTCTATTTAGCCATTCCACAATGCATACCTATTTCGAAACAACATATACATGATAAATACATGCAATTTTTGTCAATTAAAATAAATAAAAAATAAGCTTAAAAAGTAACTGCTTGTTTTCTTATAAGTTACATACTATATATCTATATTATAAAAGCATTTTAACCTCATCAAATAATATGGTCTTCTCCTTTCCCTGGGAAGCCTCTCACAGCTAAATTGCTTCATACATCTCTTGAATGCCTATTACTAATATATTTACTTTTTAAAATGTTGACTAAAAGCGTGGTAAAGAGGGCAGGTAATGTGGGAGACAGGAAAGGGTCCGGGCGAGACAATCCCTTAAATAATCAGAAGCCATCCATTATTTAGAAGATTACTTGTTTTAAAATTCTAAAAGAAATTTTATTGTTCCAGCTCCCTGCCCCATTTAAATAAAAGCTAGCTCCGAGAATTAATTCGTCTTTGAAATTTGCATCACTTTTTAAAAATTAATTAAATCTATTATCTCCTAAATCACCAATCTAATTTGCTGTCTACTGAGGCAAGTCAAGGCAGCCCACTTGCAGATGAAAGTGAATACTCTCCATGCCACAACATTCAGAGCCCCTAGACCATCTTCTCAGTTGCACTCTATAATTGCTTCCTAAATGTTGGCTTTTTCAGGAAGCTGCTGGTGCCTCAGAATCAAAATGATACCTACCAGTTCCCTTTCTGAACTTCCTTTGTCTCTTCATTACATACATTTCAATAACATTTATTAAATAATTTCATGTGCCAGGTGTCTGGGTGCAGTGGCTCATGCCTGTAATCCCAGCACTTGAGATCGGGAGTTTGAGACCAGCCTGGCTACATGGCAAAACCCCATCTCTACTAGAAATACAAAAATTAGCTGGGAGTGTTGGCAGGTGCCTGTAATCCCAGCTACTCAGGAGGCTGAGGCATGAGAATCGCTTGAACCTGGGAGGCAGATATTGCAGTGAGCCAAGATCGCCCCACTGCACTCCAGCCTGGGCGACAGAAGGAGACTCTGTCTCCAAAACAAAAAACAAAAATTACATTCTAGGTGCCATTTCCCAGAAATGTAAAAATGAGTGTTATTACCTGCTCTATATTTACTCACAGTATAGCAAAGAAGAGAGATACAAGAAAGAATGGGGTCGTTTACTGTGATAGAGACATGCATAGAGTCTAACAGAAGCATCCTAAAAGGGTCTCTAACCCAGATTGGGAACTCAGAGGTTTCCTGGTGAACATGGTGCCCAAGAGAATTCAAAAGAGAAATTGTGATTCCTTAGAGAGGATACAATGTGAAGGCAAATTGTTTCTGTCTTTTTCTGGAATTCATACCTATCACGAAGCTCATCATTAGTATACTGTATCCCATATACTTCATAGCTCCCATTCTAGATAGTGAGTTCTATGAGTCGAGGCCCATGTTTGCTACAAATTTCTCTCTTGCACAGGATCTAGAAACTCTGAGTCAAGCAGGCGCATTCTGCAACACACAGGTGACAGGATTAAGAGACCTACAAGTCTAGCATAAAGGTTTCTTCTAATTACATCAGAAATACATCACGCAAGAGCTGAAATTTTTCTCATATTGAAGCAGTTGAAGCAGATAAAAACATTCTAAACTTTTTAAGGAAAAGCTGAAAAACTCTCAACTTTTATTTGCTTACTAAAGCAAAGGCCATGAACAGCTCAAACGGAATCATTTCCATTTTGTTCATCATGTGCATTTGTCAAACCTCACAAAGAACAGTGTAGATAACACAAGTGAATACTGAATGGTGCTAAAGAAGATAACTTCTCATACTGTACATCAAAGTGATAGCATAGCATTGAAAATTGATGCAAGACAAAGCAATTTCAACAGACTAAATGAAGTGAATTGTAGCTTCCTTTATCCCTCTCCTCCCACCTCCAAAGTTAGTTTTAAGGGTTCACAGCAGTAATTAAAAAATATTGATAATACTCAGGGCTGGTAAGTATGTAAAAATATGTACTCTTAAATACAGCTTGTAGAGGTGTAAACTGATGTATTTTTCGAAAACAACATGAATATTATATATATAACCCTAAAAATACATTTCCTTAACAGCAATTCTACTTCTAAAAATCTATATAAATATTAAAATTTTTATCATACAAATCTATAGTACTGGTATAGAAATATATCTAGAATACATTGCTATTTTTTAAAAACCTGGGTTACACAGAGAGTATATCATACGATTCTATTTTTAGTAATTAATAAATGCACCAAAAATTCTGGTAAAATGTGGTCCTAAATGCTTATAGCAATTACGTCTGATAAGCAATATTAGAATAAAATCGCTTCTTTATTACTTTTCTAAGAGTCTTCACATAACAACCCTACTTCCACACCCTCAAAAATTACCCAACTCTCCACACTATTTTCAAATATTTTGGAATAAATATGCATGACACTGATAATCAGAAGATCTATTATACTATTAAAGTTCTAATTCTAGCCTTTCTCATGCTGTGTGTATGTAATGTGTGTCCTGGTGTGTCCTGCAAGTTTCTCTCTGCTCCCATTTGTCACACGCAGGGCATCCTCGTGACAAATTTAAGCTATAAAAGAAAGAGGATATTTGAAATTAGAATTGCTGGGAAAGGCATCTTGTAGTTTATTTGCACACAAGTACTGGCTGATTTTTTTTTATTACCACACCCACATTCCTTGAAAAGCCTGACTTTCTTTATGTGGAAATTTCTAAACCACACATTTTGCATGCAGGCTTCCTAGCCTCCTACACCAAGCAATAGCTTCTCCTTTTTTTGACCTTCAATTTAGGCGATAACAACCATAACATAATATACAATTTTCTCTGGTTTGTGGATGTTACTTTAGACTGTAAACTCTTTAAAAGAGGGCTTTTCTCTTCCTTTTTGTACCCCCACAGAGATCAGACTGAAGCTGGTTAAGCAAAATGCCCTATTTACTTCGTCAGTTATATAGTAAGACAGAAAGCTAAGTAACCTGGTGAATTTGAAAATACCGTATTTTAAAAGATACATTTTGAGTTCTTTTAAAAGGTGGTCTAACAAAGCATGTATATACAATAGGCGTTTGGAAATCTTCATCATGATGAATGGAGTATTCGTCAACCTATACTTCATTGTAAACAAAATGGTGATTAAGTGTTTGCTGTTAATGTTGAAATCATGCCATAGAAACATAATAGACTATGTCTAAAACACAGAAATGTAAGAAAAGAAACAAAAATGCCCCTTCCTGAGCAGTTAATTTCAGCATTTTTGGTAAAACTTGGCTTGCTTGCAAAGAATTGTTTGCTTTGGAAGAAGTGAGAGGAACACATTGTTTATCTGACAGGTCACTGTCTTGCAGGAAACAGAGCTACTGTAAGGCGGTGTTTCCTAATGAATTTAAAATATGATGCCATGACATTTTGTAAGATGAGAGCTAATTAGTTCAGGGTCCTGAAAAGAATAAACTCATCATGAGCAAGTCCTCACTTGCTTTACAACTGAGTGGCATTCACATTACATTCTTCAAACAGCAGAGCCCCCCCAAAGAACCTTGAGAACGAAGAAGTTACAATCAGATTCCAGGCTCCAGGCATGGATGAAACAAACCAAGTGTCTCCACAGCAATTCTCAGTCCTGTATACAGATGAAATGTTAAAAGACTCTCCACTTTTCCAGGAACTTAAACCTAAGGAAAAGGCAAAGACTGGTAAAACCACACACCACTCAAAGATTTCAGCTTTAAGACACTTTTCTACCCTCTCATGGCCTAATTCTGTTTTTGTTTTGTTTTGTTTTGTTTTTTACAGACGGAGTCTTGCTCTGTCACCCAGGCTGGAGTGCAGTGGCGCAATCTGGACTCACTGCAAGCTCCGCCTCCCGGGTTCACGCCATTCTCCTGCCTCAGCCTCCCGAGTAGCTGGGACTACAGGCGCCCACCACCACGCCTGGCTAAATTTTTGTATTTTTAGTAAAGACGGGGTTTCACCATGTTAGCCAGGATGGTTTGATCTCCTGACCTCGTGATCCGCCAACCTCGGCCTCACAAAGTGCTGGGATTACAGGCGTGAGCCACCACGCCCGGCCTCATGGCCTAATTCTGACTGGGGCAGAGAGAAAATGGTCTGGTAGGGCAGTGCTTCTCAAATTTGAGTGTGCACACCCATCTCCTGGGGGTCTTGTCTCCCAGGGGATGCTGGCACTGTTGGTTTTAGGACTGAGTAGCAAGCTTCAGGAGTACCATGGGGCACCACGTTGTGTATTGAATCTGTAGCAGGAATGTCCAATCTTTTGGCTTCCCTGGGCTACACTGGAAGAAGAAGAATTGTCTTGGGCCACACATAAAATACACTAACACTAATAGTAGCTGTTGACCAAAAAAAAAAAAATCTCAAAAAAAAAATCTCATAATATTTTAAGAAAGTTTACCAGTTTGTGTTGGACCACATTAAAAGCCATCCTGGTCTCCCTGCGATCCACAGGCCACAGGTTGGACAAGCTTGCATAGGGCTTCAAAGTATTGGGAAATCCCTGTGCTTCTTCAAAGTCAAATTTTTAAATCAATGGAGGATGAACAGGGTGTGAGCAGCCCTTGAGGTGGAGGGCGGTGAAAGGAGGCTTCAGGCCCGAATTAGGGCTCCATCCTGTTTTTGGGTACCTGGCACATGCTTGAGCCACATTTGATATAAGCCATGCTCAAAAAGAAGGCAGCTCTATCCCTTCTGTGGCTGGAGGCCAAGGGTTCTCAGAAGCACAGCTCAGATGGTGGAGCTTGAATTCACACCTTCCTGGCACAGCATCATGACCTATAAAGACTGTGTTCTTGCTTCAGGGAGAGCAAGGGGGAGAACAGGAGGAAGTGCTAACACCTTGCTTTTGTGGTTTCCTAGCGTCTAACTCTAAAAGACATGTGTTCCTTCCATTCCCACCTTCCTGTGGAAGGACAGATCAGACCCCTGACCATCGCCTCAGCTCATCATTGCGTCATCTGGATGGCTTCCCTAAGCTCCCACCTGGGCCCAGAAAGGAAACGGCTTATGACCTGCAGTCTTTGACTATCACCATCTCCATTCTATTTATGGCCCTGCTGCACCTCTGTGCAAATTAGGAGAAGGTGACCCTCTTGTGGGGATGGAGGAGAAGGACAAACCAGGCCGTGATCTGGCCAGTAAAGTGGGACTGGGCTGGCTCCTGGTGGGCTTTGGTAAGGTGTAACCTGCACCATGGTCATTACTGCCCAAAATGAGAGCCATCAGCTTGCTAAGAATCGCTGAGCCCGGAGCGCCACTCTTGGGTGAAGATGCTTCTTTCAGATCCCCGCCTACCCACCTGCAAGGCTTGCAGGAAGTCTTGAGAAGAACCAAGAAGGAGGCTGATGCTCCTAGTTGTTCATGAGCAGCCAATGTGGTAGGCTGATGCCTAACAGTTTCCACCTTCTTCTGCATTTGTGGCTGAGGATCTACCCATGAGCCCCACAGAGCAAGAGCTGCCAGATTAATGCTCCTGCCTATGACATGGAAATTGTCAAAAATAGACCTGAATCCTTGCCAGGCCTCCCCATGATTTCTGTGTAGTATGGCCTTAAATATATTAGATAAGTCAGAAGCCTAAAATAGCTCAGCTCTTAGAATAACAGAATTTGGTCCCCTCCCACTTCCGTAAGTTGAATTCTTAATTGCTAAATTTCAGGCTTTTTTGTTGTTGTTTATGTAAGAATTTCAAGGCCACAACTCCATATTTGAAGTAAAGTGCTCATAAAATTAATTGCAAGGTAATTTGCCGTTAATAGTTATCTGATTTCTACTTTGATCTAGTGGTTGTTAAGAAGAGAGGTTTTGGTTTTTTTAATCTTGATTTTGCTGTTGATTCCTACTTTTAATTGCTGTACTGGAGAAAATGATTTCTGTGGGCTTCTTTGAGGTACAGCACATGATTCACAATTGTATATGGTCTGATAACATAAGAAAATAACATTTTCTCAGTTAGTAGAATACAAATACTTAAAAATATATGTTTTTAAATATTTGAAAAGGGGTCTGCTGATTCCATTATTAATGTATTGCATCCTTACTTGATTAAATTACTTTTGTTTCTGGAGGATTTTTTTGTATATGTATATTTGATGCTGTGTCCCTGGTGAGTTATAAACTCCTTGAACTACAGCTTTTATCATGCATTTGTTATAAATTTTTATTCATTTTATATATATTGATATTGTCAATCCTCCTTTTTAAAATTTGGATTTGACTTTATAATTCTGCACATCCTTTTCTTTTCAACATTTGCCTTCATTTTTCAAGTGTGTTTCTTATAGACAGCACATGTCTGTATTTTTTAAAAACCCAATTTGATATTCCTTGTTTCATAACAGGAAAATTTGGTTCATTTGAATTCAGTGTGAAGATTAATATTTCGGTGTTGTTCTCACTTTATTTGCTATTTACCGTTTATTCCTTTTTTCGATTTTTACCTCTCTTTATATTCTTGCTAATAATATTAAGCTTTTTGCTAGTTCTGTTGTTTCTCTTTTGGTTTTTGAATTAATGTTATTTTATGATTCCCCATAGCCCTAACTATAAACTTATTCTAACAATATAAACTATTCTAAAAATCACATATAATTTATGTGTCTTTATTTATGTGTCTTTATTAACACATAAAAATTAATAAGTAAGTGTAACCACTCGAGTATTTAATTTGCCATTCCTCCTGCCCCTTTAAAAAGGAGACATTTCCACTGGCCCCTGCTCTTCCATCCTGAGCAAACTCCCCACCTTCACAGTAGCCAACACTTGGGTTTACAGCAATGGTTTCAGATTTTCAGCGTTTCATATCCTGGCTAACATTTTTGAGATAATAATTTCTTCTGTTTAGCAATAAGTTCTTAAGATTTAAATATATTCCAGTCATATCATTTTATTAATTCATTTTTTTCTCTATACCTTAAAATCTATGGCATCTCATGGTTCGACATTAGGAAATCCATCACTATGATTCAGTAAGTAAACAAATTCAAGGTGTCACATCATATTGCTTTTTATGCTTTTGATTTTAGTAATATCCTTTCACATTCATAATCCAGATAGAGAGATAAGCAAGATTGTATCCACCAAGCCTCCTCTTTATTGATCTTCCAAACTGAAAAACATAGCTGCCATTTTAGTCAGCAGTTAAACTTTATTATAGAATATTTTTATACCTTTTCTGCTAACATTACCTGCAACTCCCATGGTGATGCTCAAATCCCATTTGGGAATTCAGTGAACTAGCAGAATGAAATTCTAAGAGACTGGGGCTTGTTGATGTGTCCACGCTTTCCATGGGAACTGATGTTAAATATTTCACAAATACCATAACTTCCAGGAATTCACATATTCTTTATTGAATGTAGAATTGTGAAATCTTTAAGAAATAACTGAATCATTATTTCTTCACTGTCTCCTGCCTGTGAAAGCAGAACTATGAAATAGCTCAAGGGAATCAGTGAGAGATTTGTATCCATTATATTCAGTAGCCTGCATGTGTCCAAATCACAAATGAAATGATGTGGGCAAATATAAATTAAAATTGAATGTTGCAGAAGTGGTTGAGGAACTTCACCAGGATACATTAATGTACAAACTGAAAACTGATGAAAGGTAAGAGTTTGGTCCTATGTGGTGTAAAGGATAGGAGCAGTTTTGTGGACATTTCTTCATTCTTCTCTTTCTGCTTTTCCAGACTTCTGAAGAGAGATTTGCTAGGAAAAATAAAAAGATATATAAATTTCAGTGATGCTGAAGGTATGTGCAAACAAATTGTCCTCATTAATAGTAAAGGTATAAATTGATGTGGATTTTCTAGAAGACAATTTAAAGGTACACACTTGGTTTCTAAAAAGTACACTTTTTAAAATCTATCTTTTTAATCCCAATTTATTTACAATTTATTATAAGAAAGTATTTAGGTAATTATGCAAAGATGTATGTAAAGTAAGTTCACTAATTGTTCTCAGTACAAAAAAAAGGATGAAATTCCATAAACATCTATTAAGAAAGACCTGGTTAAATAATGTATTGTACCTCCATATGTTTAGTCATTAAAAATGGTCACTTAAATCTCTAGTGTATTGACATCAAATAATGTCAACAATAAATTTAAAAAGCATAACTCTCTAGTGTATTGACATCAAATAATGTCAACAATAAATTTAAAAAGCATAAATCTCTAGGGTATTGACATCAAATAATGTCAACAATAAATTTAAAAAGCATAAATATATAGAAAAATATCCCTATCTCTATATAAAGAATGTCTACATACCCACTTATGAATACATGGAAACATATCTGCAAGGATATAGTCTAAAACCTTATCGGTAGTGTTTCTTCGCAGTAGTGTGAAAGAAATACAGTAGAAACATTTAACTCCTTCCAGTAATGGGAAGGAGAGGAAGAGCTCACAAAAACAGAAAGCATATATTTTTGACATTTTGATATTTTAAATGTAATCTCTTTTCTTCATTTTTCTGGCTACATATGTTGATTCAACACATATTAGTAAGCAGGATGTAATATTCAATAAAAACTTCTGTAATTGTCTGCATTAGTTCCAATTTATTCATATAGAAACTATTCATTTTACATATCTCTTTCTATTAAACTAACATTTAGCATGTAAGGCACAGTTTTATTTTTGAAATTATTAATAAATTAAAATGTTAGTGACAAACATAAACTCTTGAGCTTTACAATAGGTTAATGATAAAGAAGACAGCCAATATTAGATGGAGAAAAGCTTCATAAAACCCACAGGTTAGAGAAAAATTGTTAGGCATTTAATAAATGATAGATCCTTTATATTTTGCTGCACAAAAACCAAAGATGAAACCTTTTTTAAATGCATGGTCTCAGCATGCATTTCAAATCACATTTTTGAAGTTTATGAATTTATGATTATATAGGGGAAGAAAAAATTCTTTGTTTCTCCACCCATCTTAGATCTATTGGCTGGAGCTCTGCAATTTAGACTGACAAAAGACGGATTAAACAAGATAAAAACAAGTTTATTAACATAGGCACAATGCATAAGAATGGGAACTGTCACTAATGTATAACTCAAATGAGTGGTTAGACCTTAGAGTTATATAACAATCTGAACAAGGAATAATAAATATGTTGAGAAGTGTCAGGACAAAGGAAAGGAACTTTGGGCTTCTAGGGGCAGCAAATTGTGGGAAGGTAAATTTTTGGGAAAAGTTAATGGAAGATGTTGGGCACGGTGTCTCACGTCTGTAATCCCAGCACTTCGGGAGACCGAGGCGAGTGGATCACCCGTGGTCAGGAGTTCAAGACCACTCCAGCCAACATGGTGAAAGCCTGTGTCTACTAAAAACACAAAATATTAGCTGGGCATGGTGGGATGCACCTGTATACCCGCTACTCCGGAGGATGAGGCGGGAGAATTGCTTGAACCTGGGAGGCACAGGTTGCAGTGAGCCAAGATCATCAAGATCATGCCACTGCACTCCAGCCTGGGTGACAGAGTGAGACTCTGTCTCAAAAAAAAAAAAAAAAAGAAAGAAAGAGAGAGAGAGAGAGAGAAAGAAAGAAAGAAAAGAAAGAAGAAAGAAAGAAAAGAAAAGTTAATGGAGGATGAGGTCTAGTTAGTAGGTTTGTTTTATATACTATGTAGATTCCTCTCTGGTGCCTTCCTTGGGCTGGTAGACTTTATAGCTGTTTCTGGTGATATAGAATCATCCTGCCCTTCCTGATAGAGGGGGAGGATAACAGAGAGTTTTTCTCGTGTCTTCTTGTGTTTTGTTTTGTTTTGTTTTGTTTTGTTTTGTTTTGTTTAATTGCCTTTGACTCAAAATAGTCCTTAGGCCAGAGTGACATATTTTGGGGTGACATCCTCTGAACCTTTTCAAATATAAGGTCTGCCTCCTTCTTTCTACTTCATAACATAAAGTCTTCTTTCTCTTCCATGAATATTACAATTCCTGCCTGAGTCTTACAAGGCCCTCCTCTTCCCTGTAGGTCAGGACACAATTGGTCCTTTGAATTGAGGTGTGGTAGTAGCCAAGCTTTCAGGAGTGAGGTTTCCACCTTTCATCTTGTTTCTAAAAGTAAATATCTAGTAAATGATAAAGCTGTGTTTTTAGTTGTAAGTCTATGGTGATTGTATAGCACAGAATGATTCTAATGTATTATTTTAGCAATGAAGACAAGCAGATTTGATGCAGAAATCCTTGACATAAGGAGCCAAAATATTTATGTTGCCCTTAGGGGATAGATATTAAATATATCTACCCATACTAAACTTTTTTTTTTTAAGAGATGGAGTTTTGCTGTGTTGCCCAGGCTGGCCTTGAACTCCTGGACTCCTCAAGCAATCCTCCTGCCTCAGCCTCCTGAGTAGCTGGGATTACAGGTACATGTCACTATGCCCAACTTTCCCAAATTAAGCTTTAACAAATCTTCTCAATAATGTTTTCCTAAATTATTCTTGAATACAGTCATGTAGAACATATAACAATTATGAAGTTTTAAAAGTCTTTATAATTCAGGAAATTTTGAATTAATAAAAACAAAGGAAACTTTTTGTTTTTTGAGACAGAGTCTCATTCGGTCTCCCAGGCTGGAGTGCAGTGGCATGATCTCGGGTTCAAGGGATTCTCCTGCCTCAGTCTCCCGAGTAACTGGGATTACAGGTGCTTGCCAGGAAATAAAGGCAATAAAAGGTCATTGCTAATTATCTGCTCTAGGTTTAAAAAGTTCATCTAAACTTTTCAAGTATCTTTTTTTCCCTGAAGCCTACATTTTGTTATTACTTTAGTTGGAAAACGACTGCAGTCAATGACTCCTCATTCCCTCACCATTCTGACATGCACTCCAGCATCTCTTTGCCATTATTTCAGCAAAGATAGATATAATATGCTATAGAAGAAAAAGAGTAGCAACCTTAACTTAAGAGTTGAGTTCCTATTGTAAAATAAAGACATTACTGAGACTGGGTTTCAAACAAATATATTTTTAAGCTCCACTCCTGTGGATTTTTTTGTTTTGTTTTGTTTTGTTTTTGTCTTGGTCTCTTTGTTGATCCTGTCAGCCAATGGTTTCTCACTTGCCTGTCAGAGCTGAAGAGTCCATTCCTTGTCAATTCAGATGCGAAGTGGAACAAACGTCCTTTAGTAACAAAACGAATCCGAAATGAAAAAGGATATGTTACTGCTGACTGTGGTGGTTGTCAATAAAGATGTTTTCATAGCAACTATTCCTTCAAAATACAATGAACATCTGCAATAGTCTTTTACCCAAATGACAAATTCCTTTCCTACTAAATCATGTCTTTACAAAATTAGAAGGCTCTATTTTAAACCTTGAATTACTTGACATTGAAGGTAATGCTAATTACAATAAAATCTCCCACTTACATAATTATTAATTCAAATTTGCACCTTTTTCCTGAATTTTACCTGCTTAGAAATCCTTATGGTGCTAATGATGAACATAACGATTAAGAATTTTGTTGCTGAAATCTCTCTATGCCTCAGTTTAACCATGTTAAAAATTGATAAGATAATACTTAATTGATAGAAACTGTGATAATAAAATAACACCACAAATGTGATTACAACAGAACATGGCAAAATAAATGCTAGCTAAATTTTTAAATCATGGTTTAAAGATATAATTTGTGTTACTTTAATTAAATAATTGATAAATAGATTTCTTGCCTTGACATTAACCTTGAGTATTCATATTTCTGCAAGTAGGAGAGGAAGGATGTGATGTCTTTCCCCATCCGTCATAAGGGTCATGGCCAACACTCCTATAACAAAAGGTAGGCTAACGAGAAAAAAGCATGACAAATATTTAATCATGCTTTTACGTGACAGAGAAGCCTTCTGAAAGAAGGCTCAAAGAACCAGGGAAAACTATCCATCTTTATGCTTAGATTCAATGGAGTGGACAGTTGTGTAGAAATGTGATCGGACAAAGGAAGAATTATCTAATAGTAATGGACTGCGTGTGGAAACCCATAAGAACTGTCTATTCTGATTCTTCTTGGCCTCTCTGTGTGGCATTTCTTCCTCCTGGGTATGGGGCATGACTCCTTCTGGAATTAGGGTTTGATGACCTACTATCAAATAAGGGGAGGTCAGAGAATGTCTTTATGGCCAGCTCCTAGATAGAAAGGCAGGACAAGGTTAGACTAATCATTCTAGCTTTTATTTTTGGCTTTGAGGAAAAGCAGATATGGTTTGTATGACCCACCTTAGGGAAGAGGAATTCCAGTTTTTATGGTTCACCTTGAGGGAGAATGAGGGGCAAAAGACATCTGAATCCTTCACTTCAGGGTATCATTTTCTGAGGCTCAATATGGACAAGTATTTATAACTAGGTGCTTAATATGGCCTTTTGAGATACACAGTTCCTATGCTGCAATCTCACAGGCAATGAATGGTCTTTATAAAAGTGTGTTAAAGTTGAAAAAAAAGCAACAAAACAAACAAAAACCTGAAGAAATATTCCTCATTGAAGGTCCAGCTTACATTAAAAAGAAAACTATAATAATTTATTCTCTTGAGAAGGGTTGTATAGCAAAGGAAAATTCTTGAATGTTCCCTCTGCTTGCCCCATGCATCAATTCTATTGATATTAAAGTAGGCCTAGCAAATGTACTTCCATTCTCACTGACTCAGTCTTTGTAATTCAACACCAATTCTGAAAAATACTTAGAAATTATTTCAGTAAACAGCTCTTATAAGTGCTACATGCATAACAATATTTCAATATCAGAGACTTCTATCCCATGAGAAGATATTTTCAACCTAAAATTTATTATAAATGACCTAACAAAGAACTATTTTTTCAGTAATTGGCTATTATGGTTCAATCTGTTATACCCACTTTACACTAGAAACTATCCTATATTTTCTTGTTGCCTACGTAAAAGTGGGCACGAAAAGGTTAAACAGTAAACTTCCTGACTCCTGCCAGCCAAGGGAAGACTACTGGTGTTACCTACGAAGTGTCATGGCATTCTCATTTCTGAATAATGAGGGAAATCTGCTTTCAATACAAACCCCCATAAGACAGTCACTCTTCCAGACAAATTAAGCTAAATAATCCATCATGACAGCTGAGAAGACAATGTGCAAAATGTCAGTGGAGGCCAGGGAGAGAAAGGCAGAGATGGACTGTAAGAGCTGCAGCATGATGCAAATACTGAGAAAAGACATTCTCTGTTAATACAGCTCTTAATTGTAGGCATTTTTTACAGAACATATTGAGAGTGAAGCAAAGCTTCCTTAGCAGTACTCTGATGTCTTCTCAGCAGGATAATGTAGGGTAATTCACAGTGAAGGCAAGGGGTTAGGAAAGTCACAGCCCTAAAAATCAATGGGCTGCTTACAGGGAAGAAGGTGCAACAGATCTTGGAGAGCACAGAAAAGAAGAGATGAGCAGCCTGTATTGAACAGAAACCAAAATATTAGTTAGATATATCCAGCAAAGCCATTCCACAAGTTCGTTAGTGAGTAGGTGCCAAAAGCCAACTGTAAATCCTAGATACTTGTACATATGCATGCTTATATTACTTATATTTTAAGCAGTCATATCCTCAAGCTATATTATGAGTTCAGTCATTCTAAAAAGATGCTTCCATTGTCTTCTTGGCACTTACTCAGAATCTTCAGTTATCTTATTCATACTGTGTGCTTACTGGTTGTCTTAACAGGTGAGGGCAGGGGCCCTGTCTTATTCACCTCCATATCTCCAGGATATAGAATAGTGCTTGGCACACAGCAGGAACTCAATAAATATTCATACTATTTTGAGTCCCTTAATCCTCATATCAACTACAGGATTTAGATTTTATTGTTATCTCCATTTTACAGATGAGGAAAATGAGGAACAGAGAAATTAAGTAATTTGCCCAAGCTATGCATGAATAAGTGGCAGAGTCAGGATTTGAAGCCAGGCAGTCAATCCCTAGAATTTACACTCCAACAACTACTGCCTCTAGTGGTTATGTATGTATTTATACACGTATATATTTGCAGAAATAATTGAAACTTATTTCTGCCTAGGTGCATGATATATTAAAGCATCACTAAATCCTTCTGAATATAATTCAAACTTCTTCCTACCATAGACAAAGTAATGGCCTATAGTGAACATAATGATTATCCCATCATACACCTTGTACTGTATTAGTTTTCTTTGCAATCTCAATTACACTTGCATTTTTATTATCATGGTTTTATAAAACTTTATGACTGGAAAGTACCGTATTCATAAAGAGTTGTGCCTCATATATGTTAGACATATATGCATTTTTATTAGTAATTATAACTTTTATGCAGCCAGATAGCCCCAGGTTTATGATTCCACATCTTTTGTGTTGTGTCATCTTTTGTAGCTAGTTGATATTGTAATGTTTGCTGACTTAATTCATTCAGTTATTAATTTCTATAAACTAGAATTTAGGGGACATTTCAATGGACTATGGAGAGAAAATAACTGAAAATTGGAAATTAAGAGCATCTGAGAAAATTCAAGTTGTTTGTACATCCTGGACATAAATCTCAGGAAAACTGACATATTTTCCTTCCTTGTCAAGTCATACAACCAATGCTATCACTAAAACTGGTCTAACATTTAAACATTCAGACAATCAGTTTAGTCAATGCTTCAATAAGTTTACTGAACTAGCAGTTTCTTACCAACTAGTTACAGAACAGTCACAGCTGAAAATGATCTATACATTGTATTATAAATGGGATTAATTATTCTGCCAGACAACCCCAGGTGTGCCAAATAACCCAACCCCTTCCTCCAAGACACTCATTGAGAAACTAGACAGCATCTGAGCATTGTAGGAACAAACACTGAAGTAAATGGATTCTAAATCCCTTTGAGTTCTAAAATGCTGTAGAGATCTGAGAAGCCCACAACCTTATAACAGCAGGCAACATAGATTACGCTTAAAAAGCAACATACTTTCAATTGATTGATAAACCCTTTTGTTGTTCATTTATTGCAAATAGGTTTTAGAGCTCAATTCACACTTTTGTGAATAAACATTGAAAATATTTGATTCAATGGTTATATTTCTGCCTGACATGAGGAAATTATAGAATCTATTAACCTTAACAATTTAATTAGCATGTCCCAGACTTAATCACTCACTATCTGGGTAGAATTGGCCCAATTAGTTAACCACTCTAAACCACAGTTTCCTCATCTGTAAAATGGGATGGAAAATAATAACAACTCATAGGGTTGTTAAGAGGAATACATAAATTATTCATGTGCCCTGTATGGCACACAATAAGTCCTTATTAAATGAACCGGTTGTAGAACTGTATTAAGAACAAGTAGTAGTAGCTTCCATATTTAGAGAGCCATCAATTCTGTTTTCCAACAGCTCCATTAGTGAGAATTGTGCTGTGTGTTTTCCCCCCACCCCGCCCCACTACAACTGCATTGCTATATGCAAGGATATAACTTCTGTCTCTAAAACTATTCAAATAGTGAGCCTGGGAAAAACAAACTTAGGTCAAAAGAGTTTGACTAAACTGGCTGAGAACATTTAAGTTGGATAAAAATAGATGTATTTTGTTTGTATAAATAGATTTTGGTCATGAGAAAGAAATAAAGAGGTTCCTCTCAAAAGAAAGCCTGGTTTAGCAGTCAGTAAACATTGGGAAGAGTCAGCAGTTGACTTCCCCACTGTGTGGAAGAAACTGCCAAAAGCCCATCCAGAATTAGGTGTGTGGGAGGGAAGAACAAAGGAGAGGCAAACAAGAAGCTGTCACTATTCACCACTTTCACCTTGAATAACCTTTAATTGAAAAATAAAGTTGCCAAAACAAGGAGTAAAAGAAAAACTACCATTTTATTCCCTCCTTGAGATTGAATTAGAGGGAAACATACTGACCACAGTAATCCCAAGGTTGGACTCACATGATGGCAAATGTCACTTAGTTCTAAAGCTCTAATTAGAAACAGGGCTGAAGTTTTAGCCAGCTCCTGCTACTAGAAATAAAACATGAGGCAACAGCAACCCAAGCCCTGGACACCCCCTGACAGTGAACTCTGAGGTGCTTTCTGAGTGAGTTGAGTATAAAGCTGACAGAGCCTAGAGAATTCATACTTGAGCAAATATTGGGAAAGAATAAACTGGGTCAGTTACCACCTGTTTCTAGATTTTATTTTTTTCTAGACTTCAACTAAGATTGTCTTTCACATTAATAAGAAGAACGATGAACATAATCTATTTCATCCAACTTCTACATTCCAGGCACAGTATCAACCACTTTATTACATTTTATCTTCTGTAATATTCACAGTGTTATTGGGTAGATTAAACAACTTGCCCAAGTTCACACAACTGGTGACTGGCAGAAATGGGATTTGAACTTATTTGATGCCAGAGGAGGTGTATCCTTTAATATTTTAGAATAACTTATTTATTTCATTATATTTTATGAACCTTGAAATATGTTTATTGTAAAAAAAAAACGCAGAAAATACAGACAGGCTAAGTAAAATGTGTCTTTACATTAAAGTATTTAATTTGCAAAAGAACAGTTGTTATTTTAAAATCCTACCCCACAGTTTTTCATATTTCTCTTTCTATGTAGGGTTAATCTCATCAGGAATTTCTCTTATCCATCCACAGTTTGTAGGACAATTCTTTGCACATAATGGGCACTCAAATGTACGCAGATCATATTAGTCCAAGAAAAAGCTGCTTGTTGGGGCTACCAAGCCAGCATGGTAACACCTTACAATCACCCTTTCTACCTGCAGTCACATTGTTCCCAGAGTGGGGTGGTGATACTTGCCAGCTAGCCCAAGTTTCTGGATATAGACCTTTAACAACTTCACAAGTACCCTTAGAAAATTCGGTTAAGACCGAACATGGACATGCTTGCTCCATTTTTTTCCACTCTCAAAATATCCTTGAGCAGTAACTCATTCATAGATAAGAAAAACTTTTTCTCTTCAGTTTTTTCTTTTCTTTTTGAATATTCTTTGATTTTAGCAGAAATAGGCACAGTAAAAGAATAAATATAAGAGACGAAGAATAAAATTTATGAAATTTAGAAAGCTCATGTTAGAGAATTGTACTCTTTAGGTAGATCCTTATTTAAAGAATAATTAGAGGAAAGAAAACAAAAGATGAAAGAGTACAAATGAGATTCCTGAGCAGTTTTTTATTTTGATTGATAAACTTTTAAAATGTGTTTGAATTACAATATTTATATATCAGGAATATGAAAGGTTTAATCATAAAAATTACATAATATTTCTTCCAACATTTTCATCTTGTCCATTTCTTCATATCTATAGTGGAGAATTATCCCTCTGTAGGCAAGAAGAAGTCTTTATTCTCTTCGGAAGCTGCTCCTCTTGCACTCCAAAATATAGTTCTGATGGAAGCTGCCAATCACTTTATCCCATTCCCAGAACAGGCATGGTACCAGACTGAGGTCAATCCTATACTCCACCTTATTTGCCATGGAAAATAGCCTAGCGATACTTGCATGACTCAGGGCAGTTGGAGTAGTTTGATGGAATTTTTTAAACCACAGCTGACAGGAAGTAGCTCTGTTCCTTATTAGTTGCAAATGCTGCAAGCATATGACCCTAGAGTTATCTGTTGCCAGTTGTTGCCTTGTGGAGATCATAGGCTTAAGATGATGAAGGCAGCAATCAGCAATAAGCAGAGGTGTGCTTGTGTGTGTGTGTGTGTGTGTGTGTGTGTGTGTGTCAGAATGAGAGAGAGAGAAAAATTACTGCTTCTGAAACCAAATCCATTTCCAAGGTGTGGTTTTAGAAGCAAATAAATTGCCAATTTCAGAGCTGATTCAAGTTGAATTTTTGTCCTGTAACCAAAAGAGTCCTGACTAACAGCCAAAACTCAGGCTGTCAAGTAAACATAATCTGTAAGAATCCGCTTTCCAGCCTCCATTCCCCTTGACATCTTCCTGAAAGAAGATTTGTATAGGAAATGCTGACGTCTCTTTGGCAACTGCATAAAAATTATTGTATTCAACAAATTTATTATATGTCTCTTTGTGGCCAGGCAGCTTGCTTGGCACTGGAAATTGGCTAGGGAGATTGGGGCAAGAAAAATACCTCTCTCCATGGTGGAGGCATACATAAAAGCCGATTGCTACACAACTGCGTAAGAAGTGCTTTAATCAAAGCCTGAATAAAGTGTTGTGGAAACTCAAAGGAGCAAGCAAAATGCTTCACATGAAAGTTGGACATTCGAGTCAAAGACTCACAGGATTTTCCCAAGCAGAAAAGAAAGGAGAGGACATCATGGACAGAGGAAATAGCATGGTGCAAAGGCATGGTATGAAAAAAATACACGACAAATTTGTGGAATAACAGAACTTTTGATGTGATCACAGCATAATGTGGAGTTGGGTAACAGTGAGGGATTAGGCTAACCAGCTTGGCAGAATACTGACTAAAAATTCTTAAATGCTGTGCTAAGTTGTTAGAATTTTATCTTACAGGTTTTGAGAAGCCATCTGCAGCTCACAACTAGATGAGTGACACAATCAGATGTGCGTATGCAAGTAGGTAATGAACATCCATGTAACCATCACCCTGAGTCAATAACTATCCCTTCATGGGTGAAGTTGGGCAACTTTTCATATGGTTAACAACAATTGGCCAGGCACGGTGGCTCACACCTGTAATCCTAACACTTTGGGAGGCCGAGGTCGGTGGATCATTTGAGGTCAGGAGTTCGAAACCAGCCTGGCCAACATGGGGAAACCCTGTCTCTACTAAAACTACAAAAAAAAAAAAAATTAGCTGGGCATAGTAGCAAATGCCTGTAATCCCAGCTACTCAGGAGGCTGAGGCAGGAGAATTGCTTGAACCCAGGAGGAGGCAGAGGTTGCAGTGAGCCGAGACTGCACCACTGCCCTCCAGCTTGGGTGACAGAGCAAGACTCCATCTCAAAAAAAAAAAAATCCTTTTTTTTATTATCATCAATTTTCTGCAGACCAGTCCATTCTACTATAGAATTCCTGGCATTTTTCTTCTCAATCTTTAAAACTTTTTATGTTTTATGAATATCTTTGTATTGGGTATTAGTATTACTAACTTTTCTGGTATAGTTTGCAAGATATTTGTTCCCATGCTATGATTTGTATTTATTTCTTTGCTTATGTTATATTTTTACAGTGAAAAATTTTAAAAATTATATAACAAAATATATGTTATTTCTCTTGTGTCTTCTAGATTTTGAGTCATATTAAGCAATGTTTCCCCATTTTCAGAATATAGAAGAATTCATAACTGCTTTTTAAAAATACATGTACAGTTCCTTTTTAAAGCCTTGATTTAAATATCTGATCCATTGGGAATTTATCCTGGATTATGGTGTAAGAAATGGATCCAATTTTATCTTTCTCCATATGGCTATCCAGTTATCTCAGCAATGTTTATTTAACTGTCCATCTTCTACCCAGCAATTTGAGATGCTACCTATAAAGCATACTAAATGGTCACATGTGATTGTATCTTGTTTCTGAACTTTCTACCTTTTCATTAGTTTGTCTGCCTATTCATGTGCTAATATCAAACTGTTTAAATAATAAAGTTTTTAATAGTACTTTCTAAAGAAATCTGATATAGTTTTTCCTTCCAGCTGTTGTCCTGAACATTGCTTTTCTTTTTTAGAGTTTATCTGGTTATTCTTACTTGTTTTTAAATTCCTAATGAACTTTATAATCAATTTGTTTAACTCTAGAAAAAAGCCTGGAGACATTGAACTAAGATCAAATTTAATGTATTAAGTAAGTAAGAGGAACTAACGTCTTTATGATATTTCCTTCTCTCTCTCCCAGATGATGGTATTTCTTTTCATTTATTTGTGACTAGTTCTTTCAAAAGCACATTATAGTTTTGCTCTTATAAATATTAGACACTTCTGATTAAGTTGATGCCAAGGTGCTTTCTTCTTTTTTCTCTATTTTCTATCACAAATGAGATCTATTATTCATTTATATATTCTCACTGTTTTTGTTTATATATATGTATACATATATACTTATATATGCTATTGATTTTTACGTGCCATTTTATAACATTATTTTATCGAATTCTCTTATTGTTTGTTATATTTCCCCATGGATTCTTTTGAGCTTTCCAGATATATAATCACATGTCCTCTAAATAAATAGTTTTACCTCTGTTTCCCAAACTGATGCCCATTAGTTGCTTTTTCATGCTTGATGATTACATTGGTTAATGTATCAACGTACAAAAACACTGAATGTTTGTTTCCTTCCAAAATTTATATATTAAAGCCCTAACCCTCAGTGTTGCTCTATTTGGAGTAAGGAAGCAATTAAGATTAAATGAAGCCACAAGAGTTGAGCCCAAATCCAATAAAATTAGTGTCTTTATGAGAGGAGACACCAGAGAAATATACTATCTAGCATCCCCCTTCACTCCCCCAACAAACACACACACAACACACACACACACACACACACACACACACACCCCTCTCTCCCCTCATGCACACAAAGATGAGGTCATGGGAACACACAGTGAGATGATAGCCACCTGCAACCCAAGGGGAGAGCCTTTGCCAGGCACCCACCCTGCTGGCACCTTGATCTTCCAGTATCCTGAAATGTGAGAAAATAAATTCGATTGTTTAAGCACCCAGTTTAAGGTATTTTGTTATGGCAGCCCTTGTATACTAATACAGTTAGTGTCTGCAATATGCTAAATGTTGTGGATATAGTAGGTATCTTTGCTTTGTTCCTGCCTTTCAAGAATAAATATTATAATGTTAAATATTAAACATTAAAGTTTCCAAAGCTTTTGGGATGATGTAAATATATTTTAATATGCTAAGAAAATTTACTGATTATTTTTAACATGAATGGGTGTTACATTTTGTCTAATGCATCCACTGCATTAATGAAGATAATCAAATAATTTTTCTCTTTAGCTTGGTAATTTAATGACTTATAATAATGGATTTCCTAATACTAGGCTATCTTTGAATAACTTAATAACTTAAATGGATATGATTTGATCATGTCTATAATTTTAAAACTGGGCTGTTGAGTATTTTGGATAGTATTTTAAGATTTAGATTTGGTTTTAAGGAGAAAATTCTGGCAATTTTTGACAGATATGGTAGAAAGAAGAGAGAATGAAAAATAATGTTAACAATCTAGGTGAGGAATTGCTGAGGAGACAAATTAAGGTAAGAGTTATTTGTAATTTCTCTGTTTTATGTCAGCCTTCTTTTCAGTAGTCTATAAATCCAGGGAGAACAGGGCCTCACTGCCTTTTTCACTAGCATGTCTACAGATCCCATTACAGTTGACAATACATTCACTCATTTAATGAATGGATTTAAACAATCTTAAGGAATAGGAATTAACTGAAGAAGATAAGCCTAGGTGATACTTACCAGGTAGAGTCAACAGGATGTAGGGACTAAATAAATATGAGAGATTAGAGAGACAAAATTACCTACTATTGTTGCCACTAACTTGAACAGGGAATTTAGGAAAGAGAACTGATTTGGGGATAGGTAAGTAAGGTATTGATTCAAAAGATTTGGATATATCATCTTCAGGTTTTTATAAGACATCTGAGTGGAGACATCCAGTAGGCCTGGCTCTATTTTCTAAGAAAGAGCCCTACATGGAATCATGTATTAGGTTTTCACTTTTTGCCAGATACTGTGGTAAATGCATTATGAAAATTGCTTTAGTCTAACCTAACAAGATAGCAGGACTATTAACATTCTCAAATTACAGGACAGTAAACTAAGACAATGAAGTTAAGTAATTTATCAAGATCACCTATGATTAAATGGTGGAACTAGCATTCAAACCCAGGCAGTCTAATGCCAGAGCCCAGCTATAGCCATATGAACTCCTAGGATTTGAAGAGAGACCAGTGTATTCACTGTAGATGAAAGAATTAAATTATCCTTCAAGAGTGCATACAGCAATAGTAAAGTGTGAGAAGCAAAAGAGCTGAGAGCAAAAGAATTTAAGAAACAGGCAGAAGAGGACCTCAAGGAACAGACTGAGAAGGAGCAGGTAGAGAGATGAAAGGAAAACCAAGGAGAGAGCCTGTCGTGGCATGTGTCTCAGGAGTGATGGAGAGTTCGGGGAGGAAATTTGGTTTATTTTCTGACCCTGATTCTTTAAGTTCCAAAATTTCTTCATGCTAATCAATTCCCATTCTTTTAATTTTTACCCATCTTCCCCCACAAAAAGTTATCGGGTATGAAATATTGCAAGATATCAACAGCTACTTTAATAAAAAAATTCACAAAATTATCAAACAGCAAGAATGCCCTTAATTATTATTAGGAAAGATCAGCATGTTTGTAATCCCAGATAGTTGGTAGGCTGAGGAGGGAAGATTGCTTGAACTCAAGAGTTGGAGCCTGCAGTGAGTTGTGCTTTTGCCACTGCATTGCAGCCTGGGTGACAGAGTGAGACCCTGTCTCTAAAAAAAAGGAGAAAGATCAATGTTTTTTATGCTTTAGGGTATTTATAAGCTTAAAAAGATTCCCATTTTACAAGCTGATGTTGCTTACATATTGCCATATAAGGAAGGAATAAGTAACCAACATTGTGATCAAATGAACAAACAATATGTCAACATTTTTAAAATGTAATGTAACTAGTACAACACAGAAGTAAATACCTAGTTTTGCTTTTTGATCTGTATGTCATTTCCTTCCTTGTAAGATATAAGAAGCATCAGTGGGGTTATCCATTTGGTCTTGGTTGAAAACGTTCCAGTGCAACATTGCCATTCATCTTCATAGTCATTTAAATGCAATTTATTATCCAGTTTTGTGATTCTACTTTATATTTTATGGAGTTGGTAAGACTCCAGAATTACTTTCAGAATCATCCATCTTATATATAGGGGAAAGGTTTAATCCTTCCATCTCTAAGCAAGGAAAACTGTCATAGAAATCAGGCCCCAAAATGAATTCTTCAAGAGCAGGAAGGATGGAGAGGATGAATCAATCAAATTTTTTTTTCTCCTCAACTTGTTATTCTAAACGAGCTTATAAACAGTTTTCTGTAAGGAAAGGGTTTCTTGAATATGGTAACATCTGCCATCTAGTGGCTGACTTGAGCTACTATATGATTAAACTAGAAATTTTTATTTTTATGTAAATAATAACATGGAGGTGGGCAAATCATTGTACTTCATCTCTCTCTCTTCATGTTGCAAACAAAGTAGGAAAATATAGATTTTCTTTGATGAACTATTATTTTTAGTGCCAGATTTGATCTAATAATTCAATCCTTTTAGTGTAGGCATCTTCAAAGTAAAGGAGAAAAATAAAAACAGAAAGAAAAGAAGAAAAAGAGAAAGAAAAATAAAATAGTATGTTTACCTGCCACAACAGAATACATAAACAAAGTATAATTATAGTTATTAAATTATTTCAGTTCTAGGGTGATTCTATTTTGTCATTAAACAAAAGTTAATTTATTTGTACATCAGATATAGTTAGAATAAATAAAACCGGTATCTTTAAATGAAAATGTCACAGGTAAAAGTGAATGTATAATACCTCCTCCCTTATTTTTATGAGAGTTAAACTATTATGCACATATACTTTACCATCTAAGCTGATAGAATTAGCTTAATTAGATAGTCTCCATGCCAAAAACAATGATAAATTTTGAGTCTTCATCTCTCTCAAGTCTCACCAGCATTTGACACAGTTGACAGACCTTTTCCCCCATCTGGAAAGCACTTTCTTCACTTTCAGGACACCATACTCTTCCTGTAGGTCATAGTTTGTGGGGCCGGGCACAGGATGAGAATGTGGGGCTCCCTCGTGCAAAAAATCAGCAAAAAAAACTGTCCTTAAGGTACATATAACTTATGTGAATTACACAATAAATATTTTGTAGTTCATACTTGCATATGTACTTCATTCTTCCCGGAAGAGTGGAAACATTGCCCAAAACTAACTCAGCTATTTTATTTCACTTCTTCATACAGTAAATCCTGTGGAAGGAAAGAAGAAAGGAGGAAAGAGGATTGGATGGAAGAATCTCCACTTCTCAGTAATTTGTTTATTTACTTTATTAGTTTACATCCATGTGATTGGCATCTAAATTATTATTTTAAAGTTAGATGACTTTTGCTAATATCCTTGTATTTAAATTTTTAAAAATACATCTTTTTATTCTTCTAATGTGGTTGAAAAATTACTTTTATTGGAGGTGAATAGGATTCGGACTTAAATTGTAAGACTTTTTTCTTCTTGCTCTTTTCCTTCTACCTTTGATTTAACTTACAAAAAAGCACATAGACAAAATATATTTAATTCTCTATTTAGTCATAATAGTTTCACAGACAAAAGTCAAAATGAGATTTGAATTATACTTTGTTGACAGGTAACTGATTGCCCTATAAATATCTCAATGACATTTCATTGCCTTTTTTGATAAATATGACATCATACTTTTGTCTATGATGCATGAAAATTGAAAAAATCTAATTATTACAACTTTTGAAAGATAAGCATTTAGTAGATCTCTTTAAGTGCAATAAAACAATATTACATCTCAACAAAACTTACCCTGTACTAACAGATACCCAGGAAATAAATAGTGAGTAAATTTGAAATTGCGAGCCTTTTTCACTTATAATTCTGAATATACAGATTTAATGAAATAGCTCTCTTATTACAAATAAACTCAAAGAGCTGGAAAGCAAATACAAGAACTAAATGTAGAAGAGTTAGTTGGTAGATATAGTTAAATGGGTGTAGTTATAATAAAATTTGTTTTTACTTGTTTTTTTATGTTAGAGCGATTTCTTTCTGAACTACCACTTCACATTGAATTATAGACCTTCAGGAATAGTTGCCTCCTTTTGGATTAATTCAATAAACATTTACTAAATAGCTCACATCTATGGCAAGTCCTATGCTAAGACTTGGGGATATAATCATGAATATTTTTTGTCTTCTGAGGCCCACTGCCTATTGGGAAAACTAACAAATTATTATTTCAACAAACCTACAATACGGGGATACAATGAAGATAAGCACAAAACAATAAGGGAGCAATGTGGTCTAATTACCTTGAAGGACCAAAAGGACTGAGTGAAGTAAAATGTTAAAGTGTCAAAAGAGTTACAGAAAGGGGAAACAGAATGAGACAAGACACACATGTTTTGGAAATTGCATTCTGGCTTCTGCATTAATGTCATTACATTTGCTCTTACAAGATCACTAGAGGCAGTCACCTCATATTAATGCCTCCTGCAGCTTTTGATGCTTTCCTGTAACACCCTTCCTCTGGTATCTGAGGCATCCTACTTGGTTTGTTTCTATCTCTCAAGTCATTCACAGTCTTGTTTATGGCTCTCTTTTTAGTCTCCTCTTTATCCGTTAAAGGTTAGTATTCCTCACAATTTGGTCCTGACCTCTCTTCTTTCCTTACTCTTCACATTTTCTGCAAGCAATCTGATCCAGTCCCATGGTTTCAATTTTCAAAAATCTTTTGAAACCGCTAAAACATCTGTCCCTAATTTCTCTCTCTCTCTCTTCTGGGTTCCAAACACATAATACAGCACTTTTGCCTGATAGTTCTATCTGGCTGTTCTTGAGGGTCCTCAAGCCCAACATGTTCTAAAGCAAATGTTTTCCTGCCCCATCGCAGTGCATGGTACTACCATTTTCCTGGTTGTCAATGTCAGAAATCTGAAATGACATCTTTGATTTTTCCTCCCCCTTAGTTCTCCATGTCCAATTAGTTATGCCAGTAATAACTTCTAAAGAGTCTCTCAAATTCCCCTGTGCTGTATCCTCTTGGTATAATTATCAGACTTTTGCAAGACTCTCCTAAGTTGCCTCCAGCCTCAAGTTCTCCTCCCTTCAATCCATTTTCTGCAATGCAGTCAGGTGATCTTGGTAAAGCACAACTTTGATCACATCATTCATTCTCATTATTAAAACCCCCTAATAGTTCTCATTTATATAAAAATCAAGTTAAACTTATTCATAAAGTGGCATGTATCTCGATTTGCCTGAGACAATTAAGTTTACGATTTTAGCTCCAGGATCTTCTGCTAGCACCCCCTTAACTCTCAAAAGGGTCTTGGTTCAGATGATAACTTATATTGTCACCCTACATATAAAATCTTCAAAGATTTCTGCTTGTGTCTTCAGCCTCATCTCTGTTACTCTCTTTTTCATTCTAAGCCCTAGCCACCCTAAACTACCAAAGGTACTCAAACTGCAATGCTCTCTCTCACCTCCAGCCTTTGCCTTTTGCCTGTATCGTCCTTTCTCCTGTTTCCCTTTCTTTGCCTCTCTCACTCCTACTTAACCTCCAGGTGTCAGACTGGATAACAGTTCTTCTTGAAAGCCTTCTCTGATTCTCTTCTACCTCAGCTGATCAAGTGTGCCTTCTAAGGGATTCCATACCATTCTAGTTACTTTTATTGTAACACTTTTCATGCTAATTAATAATTTCCTACTCTTTCTTTCACCTTCACCATATTTCTTCCTTGAATAAATCTGACCTGTTCACTATTGTATTTCTACCACTTAGCACAGTGCCTAGCACACACAGTAGAAGCTAAAATGCTAAAAGGCCTGTGAATGGTGATGGAATTTTTAATCAACCTGAACATAGTTTTATTTAGACTGAGATGAAAACTCTTTATAAAAATTGATTTATCTTGTAATTTAATGAGCAATGACCGTTCGGTATTTTGGCCTCCTTTATCTTATTTATGTTATCAAATTTTGCCAATGGAAATAGAGTGAACAGCGAACCTTGTAATTCGCTGAAGAAAATAATAAAAAATTATTTAAAATACAATTTTGGGGTTTTGTTTAGTATTTATCATAATAATCTTTTTTATTCATTTCTCTCAGAGCTGCCAGTTAGTTTCAGGTAATTAAAATGATTTCAGATTCAGTGAAATTACTTGTTCGCCTTTAGATTGGTTTCTATCAGCCCAGATAGCTCACATTAAAATATAAAGCAGGTGGGTAATCTGAAGAACATCCAACACAATAAAGTCACAAATGGAGTCTCATTGTTAGGGATTATCAATAAGCACTTAGCAGTGATTTTTCTGGTAATGACAGGTTAACTGACTTCAAAAAGGAAAGTAACAAAAACGTGATGAGTTTCTAGGAATAAATGTTTTTTGAAGGTTGATATGATATAGGCGAACATCAGTATTATTGACTAGAATTTGGAGATTCAAACTAGAGTGCAATAAAAGAAGTCTAAAGTAGGCCGGGTGTGGTGGCTCACGTCTGTAATCCCAGCACTTTGGGAGGCTGAGGCAGGCAGATCACAAGGTCAACAGATTGAGACCAGCCTGGCCAACATGGTGAAACCTTGTCTCTACTAAAAATACAAAAAAAATTAGCTGGGCATGGTGGCACGTGCCTGTAGTACCAGCTACTCAGGAGACTGAGGCAGGAGAATCGCTTGAACCCAAGAGGTGGAGGTTGCAGTGAGCCAAGATCGTGCCACTGCACTCCAGCCTGGCGACAGAGAGAGAGTCTGTCTCAAAAAACAAAAGAAAAAACAAAACAAAACAAAACAACAGAGAAGTATAGAATAGAGAGCAGCTTCACTACATGTTGAACATTTATTAAGCTCCCTTCCTGTAAAGAAGGCTGGGAAGCATCAGAGATTTAAACAGCCTTTGGCAAAACAAAATGAAACCCTTAGCAAATATTGCATCATATTTTTTGCAAATAAAAAATTTAAAAAGTGAGTTTTGTTGGCATTTGGCTAGTTGCCATTTCCGCTGTAGATAGCAAAATCTTTAGAAAGTATCAATTAGCTTGTGTTAAGCTCAACAAGATTATATCTGTATAAGAAAAATTTTAAGATTCCAAGAATCAGCAGTGCTGTAACATCAGATTTGGGCAACCCTAAAAATCCTTTAGTTTATTCTCCAGCACCTTTTAACAAAACCATTCTGTATTCACATTTTAAGTCTTCACAGTAGACCTGTTGTTAATTTATGCCATTACTTATCTGAAAGCAAGAAAACTGTTTTTCCTATCTCACATAAATCCTTTGTGTACACATGATGTTGTCATACCACAACACATGAGTTACATTAGTATGATGTGCCTTTTTGCCCTCTGTGGGTTTCAAGGATGATAAATCTGCTAAATAAATAGAATGTTGCTACTTCAGCAGCCTGTTTCTTTTCTAGAATGGACTCCAGAGCTGTGACTCCCAAAGCCCCAAAGGCTGGTCCACAAGTTAGCATTGGCAAAACCAAGGGAAAACAAGGAACACAAAGAAAACATAGTCGAGTTTCATGATGAGACATTGTGCTACTTTAAACGATTAGCCTTTATTTTAACAGTGGGTTTTTTTGTATTTGGATTAACTAATATATCTTTTCATTTTAGAAGTGGATGATGAAATATATAATATTTCTATTGTTTTAGTGACCTTATTTGGAAAATAAGAAACTGTAAATTTGATGTCAATTGATTTTCTAAAATTTTGCATAGTTATAAAATACTCAAATTGGAAACTACTGCTTTTCTACAGTGAATTTGTAATAAGTTAATTGAGTTAAATCTTGAAAAATCTGTGACTATATTTTATACATACATATATAAACATGCACATGCAAATATATGTATATATAATTATTTATGTTAGAAAATTTCATATAAAGAAAGGATATTTTAAAAATGTAAAATGATAAGCACTTGGTCCACCTCATACTTTCCATCAGTTGTTATAACCTGGTATCAATTACCTAGTAACAATATTTACTTAATAACAATTTATGATTACCTAACAATTTCTTCCAGTTTAAGTTTTAATTTCTCTTAGCCTGCTTTTTTTTTTCTGAGTTGTGTAGCCCTTTATTAGCAACTAAAATAGAAGGCATCTGTTGTACAACACGGGTAGTAATTGACTATAACTGGAAATCTATTATATTCTAATACAGATCATCTATAAATGCAATTTCTTTATTAAAAATCTTCCACCTTTTTTGTTTGTTTGTGTACAATTTGCAAAACTATTCTGAAAGTGGAATATATGTGCACAAGTTTGCAGAGTGCAAATTCAGGATATGGTAAATGCTTTACCAGTTACTTTCCAAAAACTGTCTGCTGCAACTGAACCTTTACATTGTCATCTTTTTTGATCAAAATATTTTGATGCCAGCCTTCCTTCTACTGCCTAAACTATAAGGCATTTTTTAATGACCTGAAGGTTTTGCTATAGTTACTATGATGAATACCAGGGGGAGATTTATAGATCCACTGAACATCTAGATAAAATGGGTATGAGTGTTACAGAACAATTAGACCCTGTATCTTTTACCAATTACATGAAGAAATATCGTAACTATATGTGGAAGACTTCCCATTCGGGTGTTATTAAATGCTATCACAGAGCTCCAGAAGAATGGAATGAATATGAGCTTTTCCTTTTTGAATTATGCCCAGTCAAGCCAGTGTAGAAACTGGCAAGACAATTCAGTGAGTTATGCAGCTGGAACACTCATGGTCCACTGAAGCTCTGAATCCTCAGGGATGCCACCTGCACATTCTCATACTCTGTCCAGGGCCCCAACCTAGCCTTTACCATGATACTGGTCTTGGTTTGGGGGGATTTGAAACCTCAAACTAATAGAAATTTCTTTTTTTTTTCTAGTAGGTGTAGTCCTTCCTTAGCCTGCTTTTTAATGAGTGCTGCTAAAGCCCTTAGCCTGCCTGTTTACCCTTGGAGGTAAGATCTTCTTCTCCTCTGATTAGAAAAGTCAATCTCCCCAAGCATTTCTGCTTCATTGGTTTCACTCTACCACTGAATGGCTATTATGTGCCAGGCCTTGGGCCAGGTACTCAAAACTCTGTTAGACCAAGAACATAACTATTCATACCCTGGGGGAAAAAAGGGAAAAACTTTATCTCCAATTTAATCTTCCAAGAAGAAAATAAAAGCTTTTTCCTTGATTATTTTCTCCCCGAAGATTGGAATATAAGGCAGGATCCATACATCTATGTTACGAACATACCATGGAATTTTTCTCAGTTTGTGTCTTGTTTCCCAACCAGTTATTCTTCATACTGTTACAGGAAAATCTCACTTCTTCTTCTGAAGCTGCCAGGTCAAGAGGGAACTGAAATAAATTTCCACTGAAAGAAACCTCTTGAAATGTTTTCCATAAACAATTCATACATAAACACACAAACATTTCCCAATAGTTAACTCTGTGAAGTGTTCTCCAGCTTAAGAATCATTTCTCCTGCCAGGTGCAGTGGCTCATGCCTGTAATCCCAGCACTTTGGGAGGCCAAGGCGGGCAGATCACCTGAGGTTGGGAGACCGAGACCAGCCTAACCAACATGGAGAAACCCCGTCTCTATTAAAAAATACAAAATTAGCCAGGCGTGGTGACACATGCCTGTAATCCCAGCTACTCGGGAGGCTGAGGCAGGAGAATCGCTTGAACTTGGGAGGCAGAGGTTGCCGTGAGCCGAGATCGTGCCATTGCACTCCAGCCTGGGCAACAAGAGTGAAACTCCATCTCAAAAAAAGAAAAAAAAAGAATCATTTCTCAGCTGTGAACTGTTTCCATCTTCCATGTCAGCAGGATGACTTTAGATAGTTGTACTTTTACGCACTTATTTAACTAATACTTCATTCATTCTTATGATATACCAGACTCTGTGTTTGACACGAGAGATACCAAGTGGTGAACAATATAGACAGGGAATCTACTATGGCTGTCAGTTACTTGGTAGTAGGTAATGACCAATGTGAAGAAAGAGTAGAAGAAAATGAATTAACTAGTCATTTGTTTGGAGAAGTCATTTCTTAAACATCTAAATTAGATTAGGCCCTTTTCCTACAATAAGCTCTTAAATAAACACCCGGTATACCTACATCATAATAGACATAACAGCTTTAATCAATTAGTTGTGAATTTGATGTAAGTTAGCATTAGATGCCTGATCTGTACATAGTGCCAGGAAGATAGAGGTTGCTTCTGTGTGTTCTCCACTCTGTTCTCAAGACCCAATACGATGTCTGGTACCTTGTAGTTACTCAGAAAATGCATATTAAGTTGATGGTAAAATCTTAGTCCCAGGAACAATAATATTTGGTTTCTTACATAGCACCTTCACTACCATCTGTCCAGTCAGGATAAGTAAGAATCATTTTACTGCTATCAGGATCTCAAAACAGACTGAGACTTGGAATTGGGAGAAACATGAAGTTGAACATTTCAGAGCACCTGGCACCTGCCCCCCAAACCAAAGCTGTTGTCTAATTAGTCTGCTTGGCATAAAACTAGATTTGCCACTGCTCTGTAAAACTACTTTATTTCAAACAGACTACAAAAGCAGCACGTAGTGATCACAGAAAAATTGGAAAGTTTAGAAAATTATATATTATATGTGTTTAAGATTTTGCTAGAGGTATTTAAGGCCACCCCTGTAACCTTGCTTTGTAGGTACTCATTATTGAGCACCATCTCATAGCCTCTTCATGTGCGCTTCACTTTCCCAGTGCCCCGTGCTTCTCACCACCCTATTCTGCAAACCAATCTGCCCTTTTTTGATGCCATGTTCTGAATCTTCCCTTCCCCGACCCTCAACCGTTGGTTTCCATTTCCATGGGAATTGCTGATGACTAACAGGCTATTGTCAATCTAACCCTTATGCAGAAGCCCATTTACAAAGCTCATAAAAGCATAACTCTGAAGTGTTGAGAGGGTCCGGGGGCTCAGAAGAAAGGCATTTTCTTGCCTTTTCCAGTTTCTAGAGGTTTCCTGCATTCCTTGGCTCATGGCATCCTTCCCTCTTAAAGTTAGCAATGACCAATTGAGTTTTCCTCCATTACATCACTCTGACACTGACTCTTCTTTCTCCCTTTTACACATTTAAGGACACTTGTGATTACACTGGGCCCACCTGGAAAATTCAGGAAAATCTTCGTATTTTAAAGTCAGCTGGCTAGCAACTCTAATTCCGTTGGCTACCTTACTTCTCATTTGCTGTGCAGGGTAACACAGTCACAGTTTCCAGGTATTAAGATGTGGACATCTTTGGGGAGCCATTATCCTGCCTAACACAGGAGGGTTTGTGAGTCCTCTAACATAGTTTTTTCTACTTTGCCTTATAAGACCTCAAGATTTTCCTTTCTCTTCTTTTCCTCTTCACCTCTGCATTAGGCAGGGTTCTCCAGAGACAGAATCAGTAGGATATGTACATATACATAAGCAGATATAGATACCTAAGAGGTGATGTGTTAGGGGAATTGGCTTAAGAAAGTATGGAAGCTAAGAAGTCCCACAACTAGCCACCAGCAAACTGGAGACATGGGGACGGAGGTAGCCTGGCTCAGTTCAAGTCTAAAAGCCTCAGAATCAGGGAGGCCAATAGTGTAACTGTCCAGGCCCAAGACCTGAAAACCCAGGAAATCACTGGTGTAAATCCTGGAATCCAAAGTGGAGTTCTGATGTCCAAGGGCAGAAGAGTGTACCCACTTAAAGCCAGACAGAATTTGCCTTTCCTCAGCATTTGTGTTCTATCTGGGACCCCAGCTGATTAGATGGTGCCCATCATATTGAGGGTGGATCTTCCCCACTTAGTCTACCAACTCACATGACAATCTTCTCAGGAAACACCCTTACAGACACACCCAGAAGTAAGGCATTACCAGTTGTCAAAATATTCCTTAATCCAGTCAGGTCGACACCTAAAATTAACCATCAAAACCTCCTAGTTGCCAAAGGGTATGTCTCACTATTTTTCTTGCCTTTATTCTCTCCCAAAAGCTGTGTTTCAAAAAAGGCCCCTTTATATCAAGCCTGTGCTTTCACATCTTGCATACTTTGAAGTCTCTTCCCTGTAGCTCATGCTCTGATTTGCCTGAACACTTTCATGGTACTTTCTGATAGTTTTAGATCGACTTTAGGCCTCTTTCCTTTCCTGTCCTCCCCACAGTTTTCCTTGGTTTGCCCTAGTCTTACTGTGGGATAAGGCTGAAGCTGGTGCATGCGAGACATACCAAACGTTTAAATTCATGGTTATTTTGAAGTTTTACTAGTCTCTGTTCTCAAGATCTACTGAGTGCTTGGTTTTTCTGTAGATATACTTTCCTTTCTTTTTTGTTTTGTATCGTTTTTGAAGGAAGTATAATATTAGGAGACTGCTAGGTAGGTCACGTCCACAAGTTCCATATTTTGATTTGATTGCACAATATTAAGAACATACTCTGCAAGAGGTATTTGTAAATGGTAGCCTTTATTTTTTAACAGCTCATGTTCCAAATTCCTTATTTTAACAGATCCTAAGACCTAAGAGAAACAAAAAAAAGTATTTTTAATTGTCTAACAACATGTACCAACTGCTTAGCTTTTCTTAACTGATATTAGTCAATTTGGAAGTTGTGCAAGAACTTTAGTCAATTTAAACCTTGATTGTTTTGTGGTTGTTTCAAAAGTAACTTACAATTTTGAGATAGATATTATTTTTTTAAAAAATCAGACACATTGTTGCTTTGTAGTCCATTGTATGGATACTGTTCTTTCTTTGTGTGTTGGGGTACCATTGAAGCATTTTAATCAGAAGAGTGACTTGCGTTTAACAGAATCGCTGTGAGTGCTATGGAGTATAGGCTGTAGGGTGGTATCCTGAAGCAGAAGACCAGTAAAGCAGCAGCTGTAATGATACTAATAAATGTAGGGGTCTCATAACAGGCTAGCCATGAAGGGAAGGAAGGTGATCAGATTCTGAATACATTTTGAAAGTAGAGCTCATAGGATTTCATGAGGGATTGGATGTGGGATTTGAAAGAAAGAGAGTAGTTGAGGATAATTCCAAGATTTTTGGCTTGAATAGACAGAAGATACGAAAGCAGCTGATTTGGACAGGAGGTTTAAAGGTATATTTCTGGAAGATTAAGATTGAGATGCATCTAAGACATATAAGAGGAATTTCAAGTAGGCAGGTGAATATATGAGTCTGAGATTCAAGAGAGAGAGAAATCTAGGATGGAGTTATAAATTTTGGAGTCATTAGCATATAGATGGTTTTTAAGGCCATGAGACTGCATAAGATCATTATCCAAATAAGACTGAGTTGAGAGAGAAAGATGTTTAGAGGCTGAGCTCTGGGCATACTGAGGTTAGGAGCTGGTGGGGGATGAGCAGGGAACAGCAAAAGGGACTATGAAGTAAAAAGACAGCTGGTGAGGTGTAGAGTCCTAGAAGCCAAATGAAGAGAGTGCTGAAAGGAGAGAGTAACCGTACTTTTCAAGTAAAGGATATAAGGACTAGGAATTGACCGTTGAATTTAGTAACCTGAAAATCATTAATGACCTTGCCAACTGTAATTTCAGTGGAGCAATGAACTGAAGATATTTGAGTGAGTTCAAGAGAGACTCAGAAGAGAAGAATTGGAGGCAGCAAACATAGACAGCACTTTTAATGCTTTTCTCATATGCTGTAAGACATGAAAGCAATCTATTGGGATGAAAGCTGAAAGGAGAAGCGGGACAAGAGAAGGTATCTTTTGTTTTTGTTTTCAATGGGAAAGTTACAGCAGGCTTATATGCTGTGGGAATGATGCAGTAAAGAAGAGATATTAATGATGGAGAAGGAAGAGACTTTTTGGTTTAATGACTTTAAGTAGAGATGAAGTGACAGACCCCAGTCCACAAATGAAGATGGAAGCACTGATAAGGCCTACTTGTTAGAGGGGAAAGTAGAGTAAGTGGGCAGCTAGATGTGAGTAGGTGGATACATGCATGATAGTACCCTGTGGAAATCCTTTTCTCATTGTTTAGGCGAGAGTAGGTTGGAGGCAGAAATAAGGGAAATTAGAAAAAAAGGAAGAACAACTGAAAATCATCTACTAGACTGGGTGGGATGGGGCAGGTTGGAGAATGGTTCTGAGAATTTAGTGTGACTGCCAGACAACACCTTGAGGTGAGTGGTTATACATTTTGGAGTGAGACCAGTCAGCATAATGGTGCGTTTATCTTTTTTTCTTTTTCTTTCTTTCTTTCTTTTTTTTTTTTTTTTTTTTTTTTGAGACAGAGTCTTGCTCTGTCACCAGGCTGGAGTGCAGTAGCACTATCTCGGCTCACTGCAATCACTGACTCCCTGGTTCAAGCAATTCTCCTGCCTCAGCCTCCCGAGTAGCTGGGACTACAAGCACCTGCCACCATGTCCAGCTAATTTTTGTATTTTTAGTAGAGACGGGGTTTCACCATGTTGGCCAGGATCGTCTCGATCTCCTGACCTCAAGTGATGCACCCGCCTCGGCCTCCCGAAGTACTAGGATTACAGGCATAAGCCACCGTGCCCGGCCTAATGGTGTGTTTTTCTTGAACCACATTTTGCTTCACAGAAGTAGGTACAGGTAAGTGAGGAGTTGAGAGTGTATAATAGGAACATTTTAAAATATGAATGCCTGGGCCCCACCCACTTTCAGATATTATTTGTTTAGTTGAGGAAGGGCCTGGACACTGGATTTTTTTAAAAGCACCCAAGATAATTCTAAGCAAAGTCAGAGTTGAGTCGCTGGAGTATTACATAGCTTTTGCCCAAAGCAGTTAGGAGTCTGGATCAATTGTTGTGAGTTATAAAGCTAAAAAGGTAAGTTTAGTTGTGTTTTATTCATTTTTGGATAATCTTGGCCTAGAATTTTTGGACTTGGGAAAGTTCCCAGGATGCTTAAAAAAGATAAGAGTAAAGAAAATGTATGACATTGGTTCTGTAGTTTATAGGCATACACACACACACACACACACACGAGAGAGAGAGAGAGAGAGAGAAGAAAAGAAAGGAAAATGTCTAACATTTGTCATCTCTGTCCCTATCACGGGAAAAGTATCCAGAAAGTTTAGATGTAATATTTTAGGCATTTGAAAATTTTTAAAAATTATACTAACTTAGGCCAGGCATGGTGGCTCACACCTATAATCCCAGCACTTTGAGAGGCCGAGGCAGGTGGATTACATGAGGTCAGGAGTTTGAGACCAGTCTCTGAAGCAGTAAAGACTATGGGAGAGTTTACTATGATTTTGGCAGACAGCAATTTCTTAGTACACAAAAACACAGCTACATTCTTCTATTTTTGGGAAAGGAGACATACAACTTTCAAGTTTAGAGGACATTCGTTTTATCAGCTCATGAAGTTAAAAATTCACAGTGCTATCTATGTACACAGCAGACACTCAGAGCAGGATAGTTGGATCAATAAGTAAGTACACATATACTCCTTTTTTTCCTGAAAAGTTGTAAAAAATTTGCTTTGAAATAAATATCTATTATTTATTTCTTGTTATGAACAAGGCAGAATTCCCAGTCTTCAAATCACAGGAGTTTTATTTGAGCAAACTTCAAGCAAGAATTGGATATCTTCCATTTTGCTTCTTTTTCTACAGAAGAGAAGCAAGAAACCAAATACTGGGGGATATATTGCACAAGTATAACTTCAAGAAACCCAAGCCAGTGCAAACAATTCAAAAAATAATGGAACCCGAAGACAGCGAACCTTCCAGGGATGCTATGGACATTTATCCCCTCTGCTAACATTTATGTTTCTGTAGTTGAGGTTCAGTTATATCACAGTTTAGACAACTCCCTAGAAACAATGATCCCTGTTAAAGCTGCTCCAGGAGCACAGGAATTCCTTTGATGAGCTCTAAGAGATTGGTAACAATACCTCCTGAAGGGCCGTGTTGCTAGGTAACAGCTTGTTTCCTTGGTCACAGTGAATCCGTGGAAGACCCCCAAAAGAGGCTGCAGATTCTTAGTGGACAGCTCTCATATCCCCTCCAGGGAAAATGATGAAAAATGTCTTCAGAAAAATAGCTTTATGAAGGCAAGAGGACTTTTTGCACCTGCAAGACATGTCTGAAAGGTAAGAAAATTAAATTAAAAGTAAACTTCATCATTAGTTGAGCTAGAGAAAAAAGCCAAACAAACGTAGATAGTGTTACCAGATTAAATTTCCTTTAGAGACATAAAGTCATGCAGCCTACATTACTGATTATGGTTGCCTTAAGAGAGAAGCAAACTCAACTGCCACCGTCTCCCCTAATACCTGGTTACAAATGCAATGCAGTTTCTGTGATCATTGTTGTGATGGAGAGAGGTGGGCTTACTCCTTTAGTAATGGTATGTCTAAGAGACACAGGACTCTTCAAGAAAGCATTTGTGATTTTCATGAAAAAAATAGGCAAGATAGCTGAAAGGCAATATCTATTAGTGTTTCAGTTTAAAAGAAATTACTATCATAAAAACATGACTTATACCAGCTCATTAAAGCCACAAATTAGATTAAATAGAGGCCCAAACCCAATGTTTGTTTCCTCACTCCTAAATTTCACAGCTGTCTCGTAAGTGTTTCTCAAACATGCTGATAATTAAACAATATACAGTTGGAGATTTGCATGCTTCTTGAAAATTTTTTTTGTTTTTATATTTTATATTAGTATATAACCTGGCTCTCACTTTTTAAAAACTGATATTTGCATCTTCAATTTTCAAGACTAAGTACATCGTGGTTTCATAAAAGTGTACAAAACTTATTTATAGCTTCCATTTACTACCTATAATTAAGATATGAATTGTGTTTAGGTAAGGGATTAGAATATCAAAGGAGTGATAGAAATTCTATTGTTTAGCCAATTCTGTATATCTCAAACAGTGTCAAGATACTTGATTTTAACATTGAAAATTAAATGTGTATTAATTTCGAGAAATTAGCATACAAAACAATAGTTTAAAATGGGTAGTAGTTCCGTGCAGAATTGTAAACTTCATTTTTTCTCTACTTAATAAAACTCTTTTAGTACACTATAACAAAAGGTTTATTTGTTCAATATAAAATGATCTTTACTATCAGCATTGTTATTTTTCAACTAGTAAATCTTTATAAAATGATTTTAGAGACAGCCTAAAAGAGTGATACCCAGGATACAACTTATTTTTATTTATTTATTTAATTTTATTTTTTATTTTTGGATACACAGTCTCACTCTATCGCCCAGGCTGGAGTGCAGTGGTGCAATCTCGGCTCACTGCAACCTCTGTCTCCCAGGTTCAAGAGATTCTCATGCCTCAGCCTCCTGAGTAACTTGGACAACAGGCCTGCACCACTGCACCTGGATAATTTTTGTATTTTTAGTAGAGACGGGGTTTCACCATGTTGTCAGGCAGTTCTTGACCTCGTGAGTTCAGACAATCCACCCACCTCAGCCTCCCAAAGTGCTGGGATTACAGGGGCGAGCCACCACACCCAGCCTACACCCAGGATACAACTTAAACTTTAATCTTCAAATTGTGAAAGGCAAAAGAAGGAAGGAAGGAAGGAAGGAAGGAAGGAAGGAAGGAAGGAAGGAAGGAGGGAGGGAGGGAGGGAGGAAGGAGGGGACAGGAGGGGAGGAGAGGAGGGAGGGGAGGGGGGAGGGGAGGAGGGAGGGGAGGGGGGAGGGGAGGAGGGAGGGGAGGGGAAGAAGGAAGGAAGGAAGGAGGGAAGGAGAGAGGGAGGGGAGGGAGGCAGGAAGGAAGGGAGGGAGGAATGAAGGAAGGAAGGAAGGGAGGGAGGGAGGGACGGAAGGCGGGAAGGAGAAAAGAAAAGTTTCTTTGATGACAGTATTTCTTCAATCACATTTCTGCAAATCATGAAACAAGAATCTTATTCATCCCACCTTCCTAAAACACTGTCATTTCATTTGGCATTTTATAGTTTTATTTCTGCTAGCAAGATCTACCTCAATCACATATTTTCTTTTAGTATCTATATTCTTCTAGCTCATAGTGCTGTATGTGGTTAAATTTGCAAAGCTGTAACAACATAGGGAATAGTAGATATTCATCAAGTATTGAAAACCACCTAAGCTGCAGCTATAAATGTTGTTACAATATAGCTCTAAAAGTTTCTAAATATAATTTCATAGAGGGAACATAGAGATAGTTCAGCCTATCTTCATTGGTTCTGTTATTTGAATATATCTTTTGCTTCTATAAATGTCAGTGAACCCACTAGTAGCTACTGAAGTTTACAAGTTTTACCTCTAGAGAAGTATTATAGGTGTTTGTTCTTTTACTTTTGTTGTACCTTAGTTTGGTGGCCTATAAATGTTTATAAGAATATTTATGGGGCTAAAATAATAGAGACCTGCAAAATTTATGAGAATAAAAATTGGGTCACATAAAATCTGACTCATTCAGACTGAGGTAGAGAAAAAGCAATTGCAATTGTGAATTTTTCAAAATTGAAATTTATTATTGTATGCTTTTAGAATCAACAATCTAAATCATTTAGGACACATCCGTTGAAATTCTAGGCTTTGGGATAAGTGAAATATTTTTGGAATATCTCTAAAACACCTAGCTTTTCAGAATAGTTCACTGATAAATAATTATTTACTCAATTTACATGTTTACTTCCAGCAACTTAATTTAAAGCTATCAGTATATAGTAATAATCTTCAAATTAAAAAATCTAGCAAATTTGCCAGTGTAGAAATTGACAACTTATAATATCAAATATCTTCCTGACTTTATGATAACTCCATTGAGAATTCTTTCAATTTTCTCATTACCATGTCTGGCATGTAAAGAGTACAATCATGACCCATTTTACAAACAAAACACAAGCATAGAGAGGACAGAAATTCTGGGTTTTAAATATTTTAAAAAATGGTCTGAGAAATCAAAGAGGCTGAATTCACATTTCCTTTCATTCAAATTTAATGCTATAGAGTTCATAGTAATTCTATTCTAGCCCATGCCTCAGAAGTACCTGGCTTTGGTGAGATCCCACTGAATTTGAGACTCCAGCTCAATATTTTTTTAGAAGGAGAAGGAGGCTGAGAGATTGGAAAGAGTGCCCTTTGCTAACTGAAAAATAAAGTTGAACATGCTTTCCTTCCTTCTAAATACAAAGCCCTCATGTTGAAGCAATGAATATAAATGGAACATTTAGAAACTGAGTCACATGCTATACTATTTTGACAACCCTACATGTCTTAAAGGAGCCATGGCCTGTGTATGATGTGTGCTCAACATATCTTTATGCAACCTAAGAGCTCAACTTCACCTTAGAAAGTGGGCCATCTGTCACTTCCTCCTTCACTCGCCTTACAAAGTTACATAATCACCAACTTGACATTTTAATCAAACAGATAGTAACCGTTGCTGCAGACAATGTATGAGGCTTATAAAGTTGTGATTGTAAAGAACATTGCAATCTTCTGCTGAAAGGGCTCACGAATTGATACATTATATTATTGTTGTTCATCCAGCAGTCTCAGCTCACCTGATCCTTTTTGTTATCCATTCTACACCTTTTTTCAACCAAGACTAGATGGCCAATTCAGATAACGCCAGCTATTTTAAAGACACTATAAATCATGGTTGACAAATGCTGTACAGTTTTAGCCATGGTACCTTCTCCATGGCAGCTTTATATTGGAACATTAATAAAATTAATTCCTCTTTCATAAAGGTTTAGATTTGTAATTTATGATAACTTTGTTCACTGCAGGCAGAAAGATTAAAAATAAGTAAACCAATATACCAACTAAACTGCATTTGTCTGGTTTTATTTTCTTTTGGGAAGGGGAGATGGGAGCATTTAAAAAAAAAGTTTGATGTTATCTGGAATGGCGTTCTCATAGGTTCTACTACTGAAGGCTTAACTTTTGTTTTCAATAAATAATAACTGCTTGAATTTACATGTTCTATTAACTAGTACAATTATATGTGTTTAAGTGAAGTAATTAAAATAAGAAAAATCAATATTAATGATTTTTCTTAATAACAACTGCACCCTAATGGTGATAGATCTCTTCAGTAATTTAAGAAATGACAGTAGTTTATCTGCATCTTGTATGAATTCTAGCAGTTAAGATCACTGGTCATTTACTAATGTAACTTGAGCAAGTTACCCTCTCTCTCTGTGCCTAAATTTCCTCATCTTTAAAGTTGAAATAATGTTATTCATTTCACTAGGTGATTGGAATGATTAAATGTGTTAATTCATGTAAATCTCTTAGTATAATGCCTACCACATAGCAAATGTCAATAAATGTAAACTGTAAAAGTATAATTTTAGTAATAGCAGCACTTGTCATTATAGCAGTAATATTACAAAACAAAACACCTTATCCCTGAGGCACAGTCCACATTATCATCTGAATATTAAAGATACAGAACTGAGGAGCAGAGATTATGCTAAATGCCTTGACGAGGGTCATAGTAGTCACTGGTTTTCAAACTCCTAGGACTTGCAGTTCTTGCCATTTTGACTTCAATGATGTGCACATTAAGGCAGTTGTAGATGGAGAAGTTTGAGTGAGTTATATAACCTAACCTGGAGGGTACCCTATGTTTTGTTTTATTTTTAAAACTAAATGATCAGAAATGATCTTGTTTTGCTGAGATTTCTCCAAAGGAGCAGACTGAAGAAAAATCCCATATGGAATTTATAACAGAAGTGACAGAACTAAGATTCTGAGAATGTCCCAGAGGTTTTTAACACAAGCTCCTCCCAGCACACTGCCCTTTATCACTGTACCCTGGTGTGGTGTCTGGAGTAATACAAGAATGTGAGAAAAGGATCCAGACTTTGGGGCCCACAAGCAGATTTCACACTCAAAGACAATCCGACTAGTCGTCTATTGATTGGAATTTTCTTAGCTGAAACACAACCATTCTTCAATTCATTTTTCTGTCCATTCTGAAAAAAATGAAATGCATTGAGAGAGAGAGAGAGAAGAAAGAGAGAGAGGGAGAGAGGGGAGGAAGGAGAGGAAGAGACAGAGAGAGAAAGATGGTAAGGGTGTTAGCTGCCTACTTACTTGTATTACTAAAGTTTTAATTACCTTCTATTATTAATAAATGCCTGGTCATTACTGGGATAATGCCATAAAGAGTTCTAGTTTAAACCAGAAAGAAATCTAATGTAAACTAAGATGATGAGATAATTTTCACTTCTACTTTAAAACTTAATTTTACCTTGAGGTTGTTAGGCTTAGTCTTGCAAAACTACACAAGAAGGTACAATAAAAACCCAATCAACTGGATCTTTCTTATCAGATCTTGTAATTATGTGAACTTTATTTTCCTTGTGTCCTACTTTAAGGAGATTATATAAGCAAGATAAAACCATGTCTCATACTTTAGAGGGAGACTTCCAAGTTATTCTATTAACCCAACCCCTCATTGTGTAACCATCGTTGGAGTTTGTAATCACAAGACACAAGTCACTGAAGAAAGATTTATCCATATTCATTGTCCTTATTTTTCTTATTTTATTCTGGCATAAAATGGCTAGCATATTTTAGTAAAGACAAATGAACCCAAAAGTCAGTTAAACTTTCACTCCTGTTAATCCTCTGATATAATATTCTCTTTCCCCTCAATTTTTTCTCATAATTACTGGCTAAAACTCCAGGTTTAGATGGCAGGATTTATCTGCTTTAGGAATAATAAAATTCAGAAATTTTGAGTTTGTTTCTCTAATGTTTGTTAATTTGTTTTTATGACACGATGCTTTTTGATAATTTCAAGAAATAATATCCAAACCGTTAAAGAATTGCTCAAATGAGACAGAAATGAGAAGCATATATGTTTTGATTTTTTTACATAATTAAGACCAAATTCTTGACTTTTGAATTTAGCGGCAGACAGAGAAATAATTTTCTTCTTGATCATAGGTCATTTTTTAAAAAAATTAATGGCACAGTAATGATATTTTAGAATATGAAACTTTTTAAAGAACGATGCTATTTTAGAATATAATCGTTGTGCTCTTCTACTGTACTAGCTCAGTTAATAAGTGAAAAATGAAAGATGTTTCTACATTGTACTTCATGAAGGCAACCTTAATAAACAAGAAGTGTGTAGTTTCCTATCAGTGAAATTGCTATTAGAGTCATAATAAATGTGCTAAAAATATAGAATACTTTCTCTTAAGATTCTTGGCGACTGAAAAATAATCTACCAAGAGAAAAAAAGAGACCGTAACTATAGAAAGATGTCATTTCTAGTTTTACTTCACACACAAAAAAAATTTAGATTAAAATATTTTAAAATTATTGGCTTAACATAACGTACAGCATCAATTACAGAAAAAGAAACTTATCACTATTTCTAAGGAGAAAGGGAAAAGTGTAAGAATAACAATGAATAATAAACCAGAGAATTAGTATAAAATATATTTTACATCTCAGTGGTGTAAATATAGGAATACAAGGAGAATTGGACTGTTGTTATATGAAAGGGTTGAGTGGCATTCCAAAGTGAGTAAAATTGATTAAAGAATCTGACTTTTTAAGTCATTTGCCACTAATCTAAGGAAATATAATAGGCTTGGGGAAAATATCGGGAAAATTTAAGTTCCAGAATCATGCAGAGATTTTAAGGATGGCTATAAGTGCCAGATCTGCAGCTGTAGCTCTACTAGGAATGATGTTCCAACATCAACATAAGGGCTGTACTCCTTGGTATCTTATAAGCGTGTGTGTGTGTGTGTTTTCATGTATACTATTAGATGCCTTTTTCAAAGACACACAGTCTATGCAGCCACCCTTACCTTTGAGGAGAATTTGTCTTAAGAGACCATTAGCCATAAAAATTTGCTTAGAACTATGAAAAGAGGTAAAAATCCTTCTAAAATCTACGGTATTATCTTTCTTTTAGGGGAAAACTTTATGCTTATAATTTGTTGTTGGTTGTGTTTTTTTTTGGTGTTTTTTTTTTTTTCTTTTAGACTGAGTCTCTGTTGCCCAGGCTGGAGTGCAGTGGCATTATCTCAGCTCACTGCAACCTCCGCCTTTCGGGTTCAAGAGATTCTCCTGCCTCAGCCTCCCAAGTAGCTGTGATTACAGGCACACACACCACCACACCCAGCACATTTTTATGCTTTTAGTAGAGATGGGGTTTCACCATGTTGGCCAGGCTGGTGTCGAACTTCTGACCTCCAGTGATCCCCCGGCCTCGGCCTCCCAAAGTGCTGGGATTACAGATGTGAGCCACTGTGCCCAGTCTGTTGTCGTTTTAAACAAGGATATTTACATTAAAAAGCTGTAAAACACATATATGAACACTTTAAGTGTTTTCTTTTACTCAGCTCCTCAGGTCAAAACACAAGTAGTCAAGAGATTTGTCCATCTAATTCATCATACTACTCTGATCCAAGTGAGACCCACACTGGGTCAGCTCCATCAAGGAGAAGAACATTCCACCCACGTTTGGATTCTGGAATATCATCCTTGGTAAATATTTTTAATTAACTCTTTACCTGATGATAATTTTATAGAACATATTTTATTTGATATTCAACGTTTCAAAATAAGTATATTAGCTGTTTATCCCTACCCTTGTAATTGTGAGAGGAGAAATGAAAAGTTGACACTCTCAGTTCCAATTCAAAGAGTAAAAAAGAAAGAAGTTGGATTGGAGGAAGGAAGATCAAAAAGGAGGAGAAGATGAGTAGAAAAGATAATGACCATTAAAGCCAAAATGGCACTCCTTCCTTTCTCCTGCTGAGTGCAAATTCTGTCTCTATTCTGCGATTTCCTTTCCTTTCTTTCTGGAATTTCCTTTGTCTGCAAGATACATTTTTCTTTTTTCCTGAACTCACCACTTCTAAGACATTCTCTCTAAGCTATCTAACTGGAATCATACACGCCTTTTCCCCCTTCCCTTCATACATAATTATTCTAGCCATCCCTCTGGCTTAAGGTGAGTTATTCAAATGTCTACCTGCCAAATTACAGAAAATTAGTTTTTCAAGCACAATTATCATGTTTTATTCAACTTTCTATCCCCAGTGTTTAACAGAATGCCTGACATATAATGTGGTAAAATATATATTTTTGAATAAAATGCGATGAAGCATGCTAGCATCAAAAAATGTTTATTGAACAATATATTAATCAATTGGCCCATCAGAATTAAAAAAAGGAAAAATTACATGGCAAGACACAAATATTCGCTCTTCCTTTAGGAAGAAACAACTGTCACACAGCTGCACCACTCTGACAACCTTACACAGAAATACATAAAAACATGCAGCAGCTCATTTTCCTACAATGTCAGAAGTTCCAAAATCAACCACTTAGCTCCTTAAAAAATAAACGGGTTTTTGTACAAAAGTAGATGTCTGGTGAAAAATGAAAACTTTCCTCTCAAATACAGCTTTAGCTTAGAACAATTTTTCTTTTCCCAGCACAAGCCTCATAAAATAACACAGAGGCAGTGGGTGTGGCAGTCCTAGGTAACTTAACTTCCAAGACATTTTTATTCTATAATAGAAGCAAGAAAAGAAAAATTCCAAACTCACATAAGGTGTTGGGAAAGAGGCTTCCATAATTATATAAACCAAACAGCCAAGAGTAGGTTGTAGGCTATATTCCTTAGTAATCTAAAATGTTTTGTGTTTATTGTTTTCCTAAAAGAATAGTACAAAAGGATGATTTCATTTCTTGAAAGCACATTAACAAATCCTCAGAATATCTCCAAGAATTGCTCAAGCATAAGTTAACTTTTTAGTGTTACTGATAACAAGGTAGACAGCTTTTGTTACTAGTTCTATTTTTTAAATGAAGATATTGGGATATTTATTGGAGCAAGGCCAAGGTCATTCAGTGAGTAAGTAATGCAGCTAAAATATCAAAGTTAAATTATTATTAAAAAGCCAGCTCTTCTCAACTTATTTTGGGGCAGCACTTGCCAAATTCTGCTCTAAAGAACAGAGTATTTGTTCCAAATACTTAACATTTTTTAAACTAAATATTCTGAGTTTGTTTGTACACATGTTTAACTTTGGCTAACAGAAGAATGAATCTATGGTGTAAATATTTAATATAATATTCTTTTCAAGTAATGTGCCTTTTGTTTGTGTTAACCTTGAAATAATAACAAGTTATATAAAACACTGGAACTTTGATTGACTACAACCTCAGTGTTAGTAAACAATTAAAATTGCCCCAAATGTGATCTTGGTACATGTTCTAGTCAGTAATATACTGTCCAGAAAAAGATAGCTTTACCTGAAATATTTCATTCAGTTTGATCTACACATTTTCAGAGCAATGTCAGTAAGTTGAAACTCTTTCCAAGAATAACCACCAAAATATTTACTAATTTATAGACCATTATCTATGAGTAATAATTGAATGACTTAGGAAGAGAATGACAACTATAATTAAACATTTAAAACAGTAAGCATACGTGGAAGGATTCTCTGTGCAGCCTTGAAAAAATAGAACTTGTACAATTGGAGCAAGTTAGAGGGATTATGTAATAAGCAGGGTCCATGTAATGAAGACATTTTAACAATTAGAACTGTTATAAATGGAATGAGACTGCTCGTGAGATATTAAAAAATATTAAAGGATGATTTATATAAATTGGTCTAAAGGGGATCATGAATGGGTACATATATTTATTCATGCTGTCATTTACCATCAAATGTAAAACAGCTGCAGGTGTTGGGGATGCAAAATTGAATAAGAACACATAATTTAGATTGGATAAGATGATTTCCATGAGCACACCATTAGATATTTGGAGTTCAATTTGGCTAAGTGTTTGGCATGGATTTGCATTACTTTTACACACGGAAGCAAAAGAACTACATATTGCCAGATGATATAGTGTTTCTCTTCTCTCTTGTTTTAAAGCTTCCATCAGATTCTTGTAAGTACCTCACTTGGCACAAGGTAGACATGACGTTCAAGGAAGTCAACTGCGTTGCCCAAGAGTAAGAGAAGGTAAAAGAATAAATGTGTGCCTTTTTCGTGTACATCCTCTGAATAGAATTTTTTGTGGATTAAAAGACATTACTTGAAGAAAAAAAAAAGACACCATTTGGAGGTAAAATTTTCCTTTTTCAAGACCATAGAATTGTTGATAAGTGAAGCCACCTTTGAAGGTATATTCTTATAACTGATTATATAAATAACTAACATTCAGTAATAAATATTGGAAAATATTGAAAGATAAAGAAGAACCTGTAACTGACTGTCCAGATTAACCACCGTGACTTTTATTTCCATTTACTTCTTACACACACATACATATATGTAATTTTTATTTCTTAAGTTTTTTCACTTAACAGAATGATATTGTCAGCATTTCTTCCATGCCATTAAACATTACCCAAAACATACTTTTTAAAGCTTGCATACTTTTCCATCATATTAATATCATTAAATATATTAAATATATGTAACCAATAATCGTTGTTGGAAATTTATTTACTATTTTTTATGATAACAAATAACACTGTCATTTCAACTGATGACTTTACATTGACTTAATTCTATATTGTTTTTTTCCAACAACATCAAAATAGAATCTAAATGTGTTCATCAGTGTTCTCCAGAGAAATGGAACCAATAAAATACACCTCTCTCTCTCTCAACATATACATCTCTCTATATATATAAATCTATACATCGAGAGAGATATATATATATCTAAAGAGATAGATGATAGATAGATAGAGAGATGAGACTTATTATAGGAATCACATGATTATAGAGACTGAGAAGTCCTACAATATGCCGTCTGTAAGCTGGAGAAACAGGGAGGCCAGTGGTAAAATTTGGTCTGTGTCTGAAGATCTGAAAATCAGGAGAGATGATAGTGTCACTCCATCAGGGTTATCAGGGGCCTCAATGGGTTGCATGATGCCTGCCCACATTGGTGAGGGCAAATCATTGCTCAGCCTGCTGATTCAAATGCTCATCTCTTCCAGAAATGCCCTCACAGGCTGTGATGGATAATTTTAGGTGTTAAATTGATTGCATTTAAGAATAACTAGATAAACTGGTAAAGCATTATTTCTGGGAAAGTCTGTAAGGGCATTTCTGGAAGAGATTGGCATTTGAATCAGTGGATTGAGTAAGGAAGATCTGCCTCACCCAGTGTGGGTGGGCACTATCTAAGTGGTTGAGGACCTAGGGGGAACAAAAATGCAGAGAAACAATGAATTTGCTTTCTCTTTTGGAGGTGGGACACTAATCTTCTCCTGCCCTTGGACATAAGAATTCGAAGATCTCTGGCTTTTGGACTCTAGGACTTATATCAGCAGGCCGCCAGATTCTCAGGTGTTCTCAGGTCTTCATCCTCAGACTGAGTGACACCATCAGCTCTCCCGGTTCTTAGACCTTCAGACTCAGACTGAGTTACACCACTGGCTTCATGGGTTCTCCAGCTTGCAGATAGCATATGGTGGGACATCTCAGCCTCTATCATTATGTGAGCCAATTCCCATAATGACCCCCCTTTTATCTATCTATCTATCTATCTATCTATCTATCTATCTATCTATCTATCTATCTCATATTGGTTCTGTTTCTCAGGAGAACCCTGACTAATACACAGACATATCCAGGAGTAATGTTTCACCTGTTGTCTGGGTATCCCTTAATTCAGTCAAGTTGATATCTAAAATTAACCATCACACTAAATAAACCAGGTAGTCTCATTTAACATTTTCACACAGCACTTTAAATTTGCTGGAATAACTATGTTTTGCTATTATTATTTTATTCTATCAGGTTTTACAAGGGTAATAGTATAACAATCTGAATAACCGCCATCTGCAGTCCTTGATATACATAATGTTTGATTTCAATAAGCAACTTTCAATAGATTATAAATTCTGTAAGAACAGAGGCCATGCATTTCTCATGTCTTTTTTTGCATCCACAAAAGCCAATGAAATAATATTAGACATAATTCCTGCTTCAGTGAGTGTTTAGTCTCCAGGAAACATCAAATCTTCGCTATCTTCCATCTATATTAGCAGATTTGCAGTAATATTGTATATTGCACAATTTTACTGTTGATTTAGGAAAAGTGGCTTTAGGTCTATTCATCTGCTCATTTTCCCTCTCAGTGGATCCCCACATGATGCTTGTCTTCTTTCACTCAAACTCAGTTGGCAAAAGAAGGGGAACTAAAATAGCGTAATTTTCTTATACTTTGAGTAAAATATGTTCTTATGCTTCAACTTTGTCAGCTCTATTTGCAGCCAAGCACTGACTCCTATTTTTAAAATGTGAGTAGATAGTACTACTAGGGATAAATCAGAGTTGTCCTTTCGGGACCTTGGGAAGATTTTTTTTTTTTTCCCAAGAGTGAGAAATTGTGAAGAATTAGGAAGGAAGGACACCAAGAGAAGTGGTGGCTGAGTGTGTCACATGTGTCAGGAGTCCTCCAGCAAAAGGAAGAGAGAGCTACGTCACAGGCTAAAGCAGGAAGGATTTTAGTCCTTAAGCTTTAGTGTGTGAACAAATCATCTTGAGGTGTGTGAAAAGTCAGATTCCTGGGCCCTACGCCCACTGAATCTGATGTAAGGGATGGCGCCCAGAATCCAGATTTGTAAAAAATTATCACAGGGAATTCTGTTGTAGATGATTTGAAGGCCATACTATGAGAAACACTGGTTTAAGAGGTATGAAGAAAGGGAGAGAAGAAAGAAATTTGAATAGGAAGTGAATAGACTGATAAGTAAAAATGCTGGCATGAGTGTGTGAGTGCAGAGGCAGATGGTTGATAATTGTGGCAGCCATCATAAGGCAAAAAGAAATCGTATTCTGAGCACAAGTGCTGGGTCAGGGTTTAGAGAGAACTACAGAAACTAGAGATGACAAGGAAATAAAATGTGAGGGTAAACTGAAAATGAGCTTGTGCAGAGAATGTCCAAAGTTCTCCTTCTCTCCCTGACTTAAGTGGCCAGGTTATGTGCTGAGGTCATCACTCAGCAAAACCAATCCAATGTAATGACCATGGTGGCCATTCATGCAGAGGACATCATTGCTCTGCAGAGATAAAAGCACATTTTCCTTCTGTAGGTCATTAACAACACCCAATCTCTTGTAAGTGACTAGTCATAAAAGGACCAGAGCGTGATCTAGGGGATGGAAAACATTTGAAAAAATCCCATCTCCTCAAACCAGGGAGAAATAGATGTCCCTCCTTCATTGCTCTTAATTTTGTTTAAGTTTGTTTTGTGACGTGGAGAACAAATGCTTTTCAAAAGCACTTTGAGAAGAATTACCCTCCTTCTAGATTAGATCTGGAAACACCCATCAAAGCTACTTCGGTTTATCTCAATTGCCTCAATTGTACATTCAGAAAGAGCTCATAAGACAGGAAAGGTTATCTGGTGTGTGATAAACAGCAATTGCCTAAGGCTTCAATTGCCAGATCAAGACTGACTTAAATTTTCACAATTAAATAAAGCAAAAAAGTAAACTGGTGGCAGAATTCTTTTAAAGAATAGATTCTTTCCATTCAAAAATATCCCGGGAAGTTAGTTCAGTGACTGCTATTATGTGTTACAAATCCAGTGAGGGGACAAAGAACAGGCTGAGAGGGAGCAAGTGAAAGTCAACATCCCTGAACTGTCAGATATTCCAGACTGTAGTTCAGCTGCTAAGATATATCTTCAATTACCAACCAAGTCTGAGAAAAAAAAGAAAAATCCAATTTAATTCAACTCCTCACAGTGGAAGTGAACTTCGGCCCCCAACTTCAAAGAAAGCTTTGAAAGCTACTTTAAAAAGAAATAATTAAAAGAGCAGAAGATCAATAACACTCAAACAAACAATACAGGGAAGAGTTTAATAACTCTGGGTTATCTGATGTACAGAGAAAGCTGCCAAATTTGAAGTGGGGGTGGGTGAAAGACAATACAGCCTGAGGGTCTCCCTGCTCAATTAGGTGATTGCTCCAGTTTTCCACTTCTATGATTTTTAAATCCAAGCATCCTTATCAATGAAGAAGAACATTTCGTAACATAAGGATATTTTATTTGTAAGTCGGTTGAGATACTGCCTCATTCTGGGTCAAAGGATTTCCTGGGTGATAACAGCAGAGTTCATTATGAGAGAAATGACTGAAAGGGAAGTCTACACCCTGGCCTCCACCTGCCCCCGGTGTAAGAACTGATGTTCGTGCCGAAATAATAAAATACTGGACTCCCTCTTATTGCCTTCCATAAACTCTTCACAAATGAACTTACTACTTTCTATCATAGTCCACAAAAGCCCACAGGCCACAAAAGCAAAGTTTGTCTTTTGATGTCCTCAGTGTCCTTTTTCCTTTATTCTTTTACCTTTGAAATGAGGGGAGTCACGCATTCCAGAAACACAGAGTGGAGAAAGTGCATGCAAATGATACCAGATGTGACTCATAGAAATACACCATGATAGAGCTGGTAGGGAATTGAAGTAATTTAGTGTAGGGTTGCTTTCAGGGGCCTGGTTGACATAATATCAGAGTGAAGTTGACATAATATCAGAGGGAAGCACGAGAGAGTGTAGGGGCCTATGGCAATAAAAAAAGCCTATATTGTCCTTAAAGTACTAGAAATCAGTATTTTTGTAAAGCACCATACATGCCAAACAAACATGTTTTCTCACCAAATTCAGTTCGTGGTCAGCCCTTGATTTAGGTCTTCCCCCTATTTTTGCAGACATGAAAAACTGAAGATCAGGATATTAAAATTAGTCATCTGGAGTCCCACATTTACCTACCAGCCAACTTCAGACTGCAAACAGGACATTCTTTCCCTAACCCTGAAAGTTGTGTGCAAACCTTATTTGAAGGATGATAATGTTGGAAAATAGTGAGAAATGAGTTCAGAAATGGAAGTTGAGTTAAGATTATGGAAAGCCTTATCTGACAAGCTAGGATTTGTAGGCAAGAAGAAATTTCCGACATGTTTTCAGTAGTGAGTCCTGGGGTAAAAGCTGTGTTTTAGGAAGGTTGTATGGTAACGTTTGTTGTTTATATTGGAGGAGAGAATGTTGCAGGCAAGAAGATTCAAGAGAAAATAATTACAGTTTAAGTAGGAAGACATGAGAACCTGGACATTGAAAATGAAGGGACAGATTCTCAAAGGGAAAACTGCTAGGATAAGGTGACTAACTGAATTGAGACACAAAAGAGAAAGAAAATCAGGAATGACTTCACAATCCCCAAAGAGAAAATTATATGAAGATTAAATCACTATACTAGTGATTGTTCTCACTTGACTGGGCTAGAAATATTTATGTATGGTTAAAAGTTAATTCTAGGCCAGTAGTGGTGGCTCAAGCCTGTAATCCCAGCACTTTGGGAGGCTGAGGTGGGTGGATCATCTGAGGTCAGGAGTTTAAGACCAGCCTGGCCAACACGGTGAAACCCCATCTCTACTAAAAATACAAAAATCAGCCGGGCGTGGTGGCACATGCCTGTAATCCCAGCTACTCAGGAGGCTGAGGCAGAAGAATCGCTTGAACCCAGTAGGTGGAGGTTGCAGTGAGCTGAGATGGTGCCACTGCACTCCAGCCTAGGCAACAGAGCAAAACTCCATCTAAAAAAAAAAAAAAAAAAAGTTAATTCTACTTGTTGGCTTTTTTTCTACCATTAATAGAAGTAACTCCCTTCTCCTTTTAATAGTTCTAGAAAGCAATTAAATTATCTGTGAACCTTGAAATATATGCCCAGAATTTAAGGTATAAAAAATAGAGATATTTTATATTTTAACTGTCACATTTTCATAGTGATGTGCTAAATCTGAATTAAAAATAAATCTATGAGTGAAATTTTAAGCTAAAGGTCATCTGCAGTAACTTAGACCATGGATAGTATAAAAAAGGACAATTTAGGCCTGGCGCGGTGGTTCACGCCTGTAATCCCAGCACTTTGGGAGGCCGAGGCAGGTGGATCACGAGGTCAGGAGATCGAGACCATCCTGGCTAACACAGTGAAATCCCATCTCTACTGAAAATACAAAAAATTAGCCAGGCGTGGTGGCGGGCGCCTGTAGTCCCAGCTACTCAGGAGGCTGAGACAGGAGAATGGCGTAAACCCAGGGGGCGGAGCTTGCAGTGAACCAAGATAGCGCCACTACACTCCAACCTGGGAGACAGAGCAAGACTCCGTCTCAAAAAAAAAAAAAAAAAAAAGAACAATTTAAATAACCTAATAACCTTATAACCTATATTATAGCCTTAATATAGTTTAAAAAAAAACTTTCCTTTGCTTTTTAAGCAAAGAAGATGAAAAAGAAATAAAGTTGCTGATTTGTTTCATATTTCCCCTTTTTTGTATTACTCATCTTGTTTTGAGAGGGCTCGGTAGTAAGCCCCTCACACACAGCCACAGGCTCCTATAGCAGAAGGATAGTGAGAAAACTGAGTGGTTTAGATATTTAATAGTCATATTTTGATTAATTTATTATTGTCATAACTGTGAATCTGATTTAGTGTTGTCAAATAAGAGGTTTAGCTCAATTTTCCTTAGAAGAAATGAGAGGAAAGTTAGTTGGCAAAATTAAAAAAAAAATGATTTTCAACTATTAGAAAATGAAAAATGTGGTGAAGTCCTGGATCTTTTCCTGTCTTCAACCTTTCCCCCAACCAGGTTAGGAAGACAGGAGTGGGTTAAATCATTTTATTACTGCTCATACTATGTGGGTCAAATCATGCTTCCCCAAGTTGTGATATCTAGTGGGAGTTTCAAACAACTGGCCAATAGCAAGTGAAGATACCAGTCCTGCCCCCTAAACATACTTCCAAAATCTCAACTTGTGGTTCTTATCTAGGAATCTCTGAAGAAGAGCAACTTTTCAGACAGGTAGAGTGTGCCTTGCTCCCAAGGAAAAGAGTTCTTGAAAAAAACAAATGGGAAACATGGCTACAAGAAAACTGGGAAGACTGCAAGGTGAGACCTTTTTCATTTAAAAAAAAAAAAAAGCCTATTTTTCCATTGATTAAATTGTGACATCTTTTTTTTTAAAGGGAATAAATAACACAACTTTTAGCATCTCTTCAGAGCTTTCTGTAAAACTCCCAGTGTTTAGGCTTCTCTGTTTCTTTTTCCCCCTTCTTTTCATCATAATATGTTACATATTTTCTAACCTTCATTTTAAGCTGATATTGCTGAACTTTGAGAATAAGTTTAAAATATTTGAGAAGAACAAAATTGTTGTTAATAATAAAAATGTCAAATGTTGGACAATAATCCATATCAATGAGTTTACAATGCAATCTGGAATCCTTTGAACGATGCATCAGGATGAAACTTTTGAGCAGCCAGCTCAAACAAAGCTATCCTGGAATAAATCAAATTTTTCACCAGTGAGGGAGCCAGATTTTCATTTCTTGGTGCTGAAAATCACCCTGCTGACTGAGCCACTAGCATTGAAACATCCCCCGCAGTTAGTCAACCTGACCACTACAAAGCTGTGGGGCTGTGACTACTCAAGCTCCTAACTCCAACTGGATCAAGTCATGCTTAGGCAGAGGATTGAAGATTTAACTGGGGCAAGTGTTTCTGGCAATAAAAGAATAAGTCAACTTCCTCATAACAGAGTGAGAGGCTAATATTTTTGTATTTTAAAGGGATAAAATTATACTTGAAAAGTCTAAGAAGTCTTCCAGAAGTGAAACAGAGCCTAAAACTCCTTGTTGAGGACTCGTGATGCCTCCTTTGCTTCACAGACTTACATACCATAGAATTACGAAATTAGGGGATGAGAAGGAGCTTCACATAGGGTCTGGTTTAAATTTCTTAGTTTCAGAAAGGAAAAGGAAGTCCAGGAAGAGAACTGACTTACCCAAAGTTATGCAATTTTTCAGGGAAAGATAAGAAAATAGAAGACTATGTCCCAGTATGGCTCTTTCTTTTCAAATTAATTTTAAGTTATTCATATATAATGAATGGATACAATCTAGTACAAATATAAACAACACATCTGCTTATTTATTTAAAAGATTTAAACAATACATCTAAGCCTTTGACATCCATTCCCAGACTCTCTTTAGCGGTAGTCATTTTGGTGTCTATATTCATTCCTTCTTTATACTTGCAATTTTAACCTTGGGTATACTTTAAGGTCAATGGAGCCTTGCTAATAAACTATCATAGAAAAATTAATTGTCCTTTCAATAACTATACTGTAAGAGAATGGCTAAATAAACTCTAAACTATCATAGAAAACTTAGCTGGGAAATAGTGGTACATTTTTTTAAAAACTTTTCTGAGGAGATGATTTTAATGCATAGGTGATACACATAAACTTTTATCATTTCTCAAGTTTTATTTTAAAATAAAGACCTTGTGTGCTTTTGGAAAATAAAATTTCAAGTATCAAATTTTATAAAGTATAATATCTAAAAATATCAAGATGTTAATAACCTTTCTAAAGATAATGTCTATATTTCCTTAAAAACAGCAAATTATCTGGCCTCAAATTTTTAAAAAAGGGGTTGTCATTCTATTCAATATTTTTATTGACAGAAATTGATGGCAAAATATGGAAATAAAAAAATTAAGTTGACTTTTAGGAATGCAGTTTACAAGAGCAATGCGACCACTGAGAGTGGTAGCAATGTATTTTACACCAAAGTTGCCTGATATTAAAAGTGAAAATAAAATATTCAGTATCTTTGAAGCACACCAAATCATTTTTAGGTATGCATCTCTAGTTACTTTAAACAAAATCATAGGTTTCATCTTCCAAATGATGTTATCTTACTCTGAAAATTTTATAAATGTGATTTCTGAGAATTTCCAAGTGAGGCTAATGATTACTGATCGTGTAAAGCAGTCAGAAATTTATCCTTTCCATTCTACACCCCTAGAAAATCTCAGAATCTGCTTGAGAATCCGGTCCTTCTTCCTCCATACACCCATGGAACACTCCCAAACTCTGTATGCTGCTCACTAATTCTGATTAAGGTCTTCACCCTCCCTACCTTGGAAATTGCTACAACATAATTGTGTTTGTATGTATAATTAATATATACAATACATTTTAAATGAATAACTAAAGTTGACAAAAACCTCACTTTTTTCTTTTATTTGTTTTTCCTCAGAATTTGAACATTTCATTTCAGGGTTTGGGGGATCCTTACCAAGTTGAAAATTTTAACAGAATTCTTAGAAGACTAATTCGAGTTGAAACCCTCTGGTTAGTGGATAATTCACTGGTGGACTTAAGTGCCATAAGATTGCCAAGGTATCTGCTCTGTAGCATGTCTAGTGAACAGGTTAAAGTTAAGTCTTTTCTATTTGGATACATGTGATCATTGGCTGTACATACTGCACCTGGCCCCCTGTGGTCAGGTCTTAAAGATGACACTTTGCACTAAAGTGGCACATACGGCAAGGCCAAAAGAGAAATTTATATATCAGAATGTCATACTTTAGAGGGAAACATCTATTTTTAAAATTAATATTTTATTACCAATTTTTAGGAAAGTTATTTGTATGAGCAGAAAAGTTTGCCATTTTCCTTGTGTTATAAACTAGAAAATGCAATTACCTGACATATACATTATGGTTTAAGAAATTAATTTTTAGTTAGTCATATTTACTGAACACCTATGGGGAAAGACTTTACAAGGTAGTTGACAGTAGTAACCTTTAGGGTAACATTCTGTTATTGGAGTGGAGGCTGGTTATCAGATTAAAGACAGAAATAAACTAAAAATAAAATATATATATATAGACTCTTTGGTCTTTCAAGGATTCCAAACTCATATTGTTAAAAATAATCTCTTTCTGCTCAGGGATTGCTAGAGAACCCCTTTTACAGGGAGCTGCTATTTGCTTCAGCAGGCAGAATGCGTAGGTGGAGTGAGCTTTGGTGGCAATGAGAGGGGCCAACAGAGGTCCTCAGGAGTGAATTAGATGAAGGAAATTGAGCATCCACAAAAAGGAAAGGTAATTTCTAGACCAAGTTAATATATAATTCTGAGCATTGGCTGAGAGAAGGTCACAGAAAGAGGCCATTATAGCTGTACACAAGAGGCAAACAGGCTGGCAGACAGGAAGTGCCAGGACAGAGAAAGTTGTGTCACCATCCACTTGCTTTGCCTCCCTTCTCTCCCCTAACATTTCCTATTGACTGGGGCAATCTGTGATGTGGTGAATCTGAGATACTGAAAGGATGAAAGGATACCCATAAAAAAGTGAGAGCATGACTGGTAAACAAGAAAATAACAGATTTCAGAGGAGAACGGGGAGAGAGGCAGGGGGCAGGAACTTCTTGGGCTGGTTTTTCAATGAGAAATTGTCATACTACTGAAGTGCTCCTGAAGTCTGTATGAATTCTGGAAATAAGCAGAAGCCAAAAGTTATCAAAGATAAGATGAGAGCTATATAAAATGTACATATGGAGAGGGACTGAAAGGAAACAAGAAAAATAAAAATAATAAATTCAAAAAATTTACAATGAAATCTGGTTGGTTCAAAGGGATTTTTTTTCCTAATGATTCTCTGTTGCAGTTCTCTCTTTACAGCACCCTCTTTCCCATTAGCAATGACCATTTACCAAGTGTCTTTGTGGGGCCCAAGGCCCATAAATATGTACCCTGTATTTATCTCATGATATTAAATCGTAACTTATACATAAAGGAATTTTTCCTTAAGGCAAGATGTCAGTGATAGATTTTGAATTATTTTCTCTATTTGCACAGTCATGTACAGTTATAGTTTTAAGGCAAACACACTGAGAAGCATTATCTATCAGGAAAATGTATTAAATTTAAATGCCTAACACATTTTACTGTTTCTAAGGATATTTTTAGTTTTCTTTTATATTAAAAATGCCTCTTTTCTGATTTAAAATGCTCTTTTCTCAATATAGAAGTTTTTAAATTACAGAAAGGTAGTAAGAAAAATAACTATAATCTCACTACTTAGAGGCAGTATTTTTCACAAGTTGTTATTTTTGTGTGTGTCCACTTTTATATTGCTGCGATGATATGCAGCTATTCATCCTTTTATTCAGAACATATCAAGAATCCACCATGGGCCAAGTCAGGTACCAAGCACATTCATTGGAAAAGAAAACAGATTCCTGTGCTCCACAAACTTATGGTCTCATATATCTTGCTTATTTTCTCTTAATATTCTAATATAAATATTTCTCCTTTTTTTGCAAACCATATTTGTCACATAGTTTGCATGTGACCATCATGACAGTAACATCACTGTTACTCTGTTGAGGGGTTATTGTCTACATAAGGCATGCTAGTCCTATGTTAGATTTAGTAGTTAACCATTCTCTTTAGGAGACAAGTAACAAGATGTTTATCTTTTGTATCCAGCTGCAGAATTTTAAATATGAGCAAAAACCATCTCATATCTTTCAAACAGTTACCAAGGATACCTCAGATACAGCATTTATCCTTGGCCGAAAACCACATTGAGACTCTTACTGGATTCTCCAGTTTACGGTGCACTCCACTGGAATCCCTTATTCTCAAGAGGAACCCTTGTGAGTTCCACCAAAATTACAGGAAGCAGTAAGGCCGCAGACACACTAAGTCATCTTTTGCACTTCATTGAATATTATACTTTTAACTATATTTTAAAATATTGTCCCTCTCTTGCTCAAATTTACCCAGCAAATACTTATAGAATCTACTCTATGTTGAACACTTCATGCTTCTGATCTCACCTAAAGACTTTTGAACTAATCTTTCTTCATCTTTTAACAATTTTTTCTTAATATACTCTTTTCTCTTGGTTAATTTATAGTTACTGTGCAGATTTTTAGGCTCCTTCTGTAATGACTTTACCTATACAAAGTTGTTTAATTTTAGACTTTCAAATTCCACATTTTCTCCCACATGCTTAATAGATATTATGTCTTTTAAAAAATTATACATACATATATATTTTATTAAGTTCTATGTGACAATTTTATAAATTGTTTATTCTCTGGTTTTACTTTCACTCTTTGGGCCCCAAGGGCAACATTAAGTGAATACGAAGAATTCAATTTACTCCAGTGCTTGAAAGAGCTCAAAAACCTGCCAAGAAGAAACCATTTTTATTACTTTGTCACAACTGGGAACATTCCTAATGATAATAATGGAACCTAAACCTTGAAGTGTGCACCCAGTAATATGCCCACTTATTTATCTCCAGCTAATTCCCAGTACCACTAATTAGTGTACTTAGGGGAATTAAAAGGATAAAAACAAGCAACTGAATTCTACAACCTGTATTTCCACCCATGACTGAGGTCATCTCCCCTCCCAGGCGAATCTGTCAAACAAAGAGTTATATCATCTCCAGGGTCCATTTATATCCTATGATTACAATCTTTTGTTTACTTCAATTTCAGTAAAAGACGTAGTTTTCACCATCTTCTTTTCTCACACTGCTCTTTTCCCATGAACAGCAACTGTATTCCAGAAGCCTATATGATGTTAGACTCTTCAACGCCTGACGTACAATGAAAATTTGTCAAAATAGAAATTATAATCTCTGTTGTTACATAAATCTCATTACTCCAGTTGTCTGCCCTATGACTGGAGTCTGGAAGCAAAATTTCATGTCTGTGATGATAATAAATTCTTAAATTGCTTTCACATAACAGTGAAAACTAGCAGCACAGTTGCTGTAATATTGAGCTAATATTTAACCATAATAATATTTTGGAGGTTTAAAATTATATTTCCTATAATCAAAGGAGGTTTAGCTGGACATTTCAACATCATTCATAAGAAAGCACAGTCCTAGTCATAAGGATAATTTAATAGTATTGTATTTCAGTTTTGTTAATTCATATGTGGGGTTTTATAAAGCATTTTGGTCCCAACTCAGCCACTTGCCTCTCTTCAAAGAATGCCTTACAATAATAGTATTAAGATGAATTGTCTGAAATTGGATATGCCCTGAGGTCTTACTGTAATTCCGTCTACAAAATTCATGATGTGGTATAGAGTTATGTAGGAATGAGGGATATAATGAGGTTCTTCTGTTTTTCCAGTATTAACTCTATTGGATTGAGTCCAAGGTGTATATACGCTGACTTTCAAGTTAGAAAAAGCCAGGTTATATTAACTTAGGTAGTGCAGGGTTACATTGAATAGAATGATGGGGTCATTTTAGAGTATGAAGAAAAGGTTTAAGCATCCACTCATGCTAAGGAACTAAGTTGGAATCAGAAGTTCATTCAAACATGGATTCAGTTACCCAGCCAAAAATCCACACCTTGAAGATTATAACAGCTTTCATTTTGTCACTGGGTATCTGTGTTGAGGATTTGGGCCAGAGCTTCAGATGACTCTTTTTACACACCATGCTCAGAATTATTTAAAGTACAAGCTTTTCTTGACCATTATCACCTAGAATTGTGACTGCTTTCCCTTCCTCCTTTGTTTCAGATCCACCAATAAGAAGACAGCACAATTCAAAAGAGAAAGGACTTAATGACAGAGCTAATAATGTAAATCCCAGTAGGTTAGAAGGTGGCCCCATTTCTGGGACACCTACAGGCAAACTTCTCTATCATTCTCTAGGAGTCAAACATGATATTAGTTCATTACTGCTTAACTTAAAAAAAAAATCAGTGGCTAGAAATTCTTGCCAGCTAAGTATGAATTTTGAAGCCAGAAGACATAGATTTTAATATTTGCTTTGTCACCTACAGGCCTTATGATTTTGAATAAGTTACTTAAAATGAGGGATAAAAACCAATCTGACAGAGTTGTTGTGAGGATTTAAAGAGATGCATAGGAAGCAATTCATGTTAAGAAAATCATGCAGCCAATGGGGGCTTTCAAGGAGGTCAGTTCCATCATTAGCTGACTTAGCATATCTGCTAAAAGGTTTCAGTATCTTTCATGCAGGCAAATTCAAATGCCATAGATTTCTCCCAGCCAGAGCCCTCAGAATTCCCAGATCTAGAAAAGCTGTCATTCTAAAGAAAATGCTGCTTTTTAATGCCGCTATGTACATGACCACTGTTAACTGGATTGAACTGAAGGATCTGTTTCTGAACATAGAAGTGACTCCCTGAATTTGAAATAGGAGCTTTAGAAGTGCTCGCTTTCAGGAAAAAATAACAGCATAATATTATTTCCCACTCCCTCTTTTATATTTATCAGCCAGAATTCTTCTTTAACTATCACTGAATATTGTGGGCTTGCTTTACTTTCTCTCTCTTTCTAAACTTTTAACTTTGTAATGAGCATATATATCATGATCTCATTCTTTCTCTCATGGTTAGTTGGCTAAATCCACTCATTGATTTTTTTTCCCTTATAAGACTGTAAAAACTGGAATGAAATTCTCTTATAAAAACAGATTGTAGACAGTCCCATTTCTCTGATCAATATTTACCACCTGCTGAAAGATCTATTAGATCCCTGAAAGGGCAAGCTATGGCAAGGTCATCAGGTCAATTAATATGAATAATATTTTATTTTAGCTCCACTGCAAAGATAAGCAACACAGAATGAAGTGATAGCCATTCATCTTCCTTATAACAATAGGCAAAGTCCATTCACTTATAAAGAGAATAAGTGAAATAAAATGCTTTTGTTCAATATAGTTTTTTTTTTTTTAACTTTTGCTTTAGAGTATTCTCCTGTTTGCCAAACTTAAAAATGCTGGATGGAATCTTGAAGCTACCAGAAGATTGCTTATCACCAGAAACCAATATTTTTTCAAAAATATGCCTTGTATCCTAATGCAGTCTGTATAGAAAGAAAGCAATCATCATTGTTGCTAAAAGCTAATAAACACAGGACATGCATGATTAAATATTGCAGTTTATTTTATATCTTTTTGCTTTTCTAAATCAAGGTAGGAAAATATTTTCTGTAAAGGACCAGATGGTAAACATTTCAGGCTTTCTGGGCTATATGGTCTCTGTCACAACTACTCAACCCTGCCATTGTAGTGCAAAAGCAGCCATTGATAATATGTAAATGTATGGGTGTGTCTGTGTCTCAGTAAAACTTTATTTACAAAATGATGTGGCAGGCTGTAGTACTGATCTCTGCTCTAAATTTTAATGTCACATGGTTGATTGCACTACTCTTCACCAATATCCATGTGCCTTCCTTGGAAGAGGTGTATGATTCCCTCACTATTGAAGTCAGTTATGTCAAGCAACTTGCTTTGAGGAATGAAATGTAAATGAATGTGATATAGGTCACTTGCAGGCAGAAAATTTGAGAAACAGTTTGTGCCTTGTCACACTTTCTTTCCTTGTGCCATACCAGTGGGCAAATTTCCCGATCAAGGCCTATCTGCCTAGGTCCTGAGGTAAACCTGGCATGGAGCAGAGCCACGGTCATTCTATAAAAGATGGATAGTCAGAGAGTAAACCTCTGTTATCATTTGATGTTGCACCATAGCCTACCCTCTCCCTACTAACACACCTCCTTAAATTTAGGGACTGCAACATAACTCATTCAATGATGTATTTTCCCCCCAGAACAGGATAGCAGGCACTTGAAATGTTGAATGAATGAATAAATGGCTATTGTAGGAAATTATTAATGAGTGGCAGAATTATCGGGTAGGATACAACTTCAAAAGTTTAGGTGAAATGGATACCACATGTTCTTAGTTATAAGTGGGAGCTAAACATTGGGTCTCATGGACATAAAGATGGCAACAAGAGACACTGAGGACTACTAAAGGTGGGAGGAAGAGAAGGGGAAAAGGACTCAAAAACTAACTATTGGGTACTATACTCAGCACCTGGGTGATGGAATAATTCAAACTTCAGCATCATCTAATATACCCAGGTAACAAACCTGTATATGTACTGCCTGAATCTAAAATAAAAGTTGAAAAAAAAAAGCTTAGGTGAAATATATTGAAAACTTTAGGGCAACAGTGTTGGAAATCGACGTTATAAGGGCATAGGAAATTGGAGAGTTATGACAGCCAACAAATCATTTTATTGTTTAAGCTACTTTATGTTGGGTTATCTGTTTCTTGCAGGCAAAAACATGCTAACTGACAAGAAAATCATGGGTTTTATACAAGGATAACAAGTGCTGGGTTGCTTAGCTATGAGGAAGGCTAGGCTCACTGGTAAGTGTCTCAAGATGTAGATCATGCTAATCTGAAGATATGTGTTGATGTTGCAATCTGATGTCCTGTACAGGTTCTATGAGCAGTTTGGCCGAAGTTGGTAATATCTGTCTATGCCAGAGTGGGACTGATTAGAAGACCTATAAACTAAATAACATCAAACCCCAAAGTTGCATCTGTCTACTCACTGTAGTGGCGGTAGTTCTACCAGTCATCAGTGGTGACCCATAATGACATATCCAATAATTGCATTGCTGTAGTTTCTAGTATATCTGCTCACTTGACCTTTGTAGTACTTTCTTGCATCTTCTATAATGCACAGAGATCTGAGCCACTCTCTCCTTGGTTTTAGCATACCAGAAGATGTACAGCGTTGGAGAATTCAGGGATTTTTATCAACAATCAAACTATATTTGTGGAAATTTTGTGCATAAGTGCCAAAGATGGCTGACATCGGACCACATTCTATTTAACTCAACTGAATGACACCAAGCTCTCATCCTAAAACTTATAGTTACATCCACCCTTCTGAAATATTTAATTATTCTCCAATACACTGGAGGTAATAGGTATAAAAAGAATGAGCATGTGCAACTTAGTATCTCATATCTAATTTTGTGTCCCAAGTTCATTCTTCCCCTGAATGTCCCATGTCTACCAGGTGCAGGATTATCTGGATGGGTCAGTTCAAAACAATTTCAGGGAATAAATTGTGTAGGGGACTCAATTTTCTGAGACAGAAACATAATGTGAATAACTCCTTTGTTAGAAAATAATTTCAGTGACAGAAAGCCTTTCAGTTCATAAAGAAAACTTACATATCAACAAGCCTAGCTCCTCACTAGTCCCAGTGAATGCTTACATCAATCAGCTCTACAATATCCAGTAAAGGACTTTCCAATTCGCCTTTGAATAAACTGAGGTATTGGAAACATCTAAGAAAATGGTTTTTAATTCTTCCTAATCTTCAGGGAGTTCTTCCTTATATTGAGCTGATATCTGCCCTCTGTAACTTTCAACTAATTATTCAAATCTCTCAAGTGATTATAATTAATTCCATCTTATAAGGAATTTTTCTCAGCTTCCAGCCTCTTGAAAATACTCTGATATTTTCTCTAATATTCAAGTGGAAATGTAAATGGGTAACGTAAGAGTCTGTGGGGTTAGGAGGGTGGAGGAAAGGTAAGGGAAAGCTAATGAGAAATAACCAAAGCAAGAAAAAGAATTTTATTTTCTTCAAGTTCTTTGTACATCCAAAGTGGAAGATTCCTAAAATAAATTCCCCATACCACATTTTAAAAATTAGGTTAGCAAGCTTACTTTTTAATTTATTTAGAAGCCAACTACTTCCATTTATTATTTCTTTCCAGAATAGAACAATTATCACTAATTGTTTGTCATTATAATGCCAAACTATGTTAATAGATGCCTATTTTTTTAAAGGCTAATTGCAATCATGAAACCAAATATCTAATTAGTTTTAGAGCTTTGGACCACATGCATCAATATTTGAATCATTCAGGTGTATATTTGCTTTCTGCTTTTTTGTCTCTTCAAAAGAAGTATTATATGCATTCTGTTTATAATTTCTAAATGGTCATTTCAAAACTGATTATACGAGTTTATACAAATCATACTGAAATTTGTTGCTTAAAAAATCTTCATTTTTCTCTAAGCTCTCAGTGTCCTTGAGCTATATATATTTTATGGCAATTTTTACTTAATAGTTTGTATGCTAGTTATTTTTGACAATGACTACTAAAATGCAAGTTTCTTCAAGGGCAGATTCACCTTAGTTCTTCTTTATACCCCTCAAAAACCTCAGGGTTATTCTCAATAAGTATTGAGTAGGTGAGTGAACTTTGGATGTATACTCCTTGAAATTATATTTCTGGAGCTGGAAAACTTTAAAAAAATGTATGTCATGAGTCTAAAGAAATAAACATTATATGGCTGAAAAAATACTTTGTGAAAACCAAAAATCTCATGGAATCATGAACTTATCTATGGGACAGATGTTAGCCCTGAGGTTGTTCTGGGCTTCTTTTCTACCCACTTCCCATGACCAAATCAGTTCACTAGTCAGCAGTTCTATCCTTCCTCTCCTTCTCCTTCCATCTAAGGAGCTAGAGCTGAACTGCTTGGCCACTGATTGCTGACATGCTGAGTTTTCTACAGCTGGAGTTTTCAAGAGGGCTTTGATTTTGCTTTCCCCAGTTTTCCTTCTTCCACACTTGAAAAGTGGTAAGGGTACCAGCTTTCTGTCTATCTCTGACTCTCTCTCTCTCTTTCACACACACACACACACACACACACACACACACACACACTTTTTTTTTTCTTCCACCCTCCTGCACAGCAGGAGACCTTGCCTTGATCTTTGAAGGTCTACAGCAAGTGGTCTAGGCTAACTCAGTGCTGGGCAAATGGAGCAAAAACTCTTTTCTGCTTCCTTGCCTCCATGTCTTTCAGAGCTAGCAGATACAGCTTTTGTTCTATAGGAGTGATTCTTTCTAAATGTCAGCTCAACAGGATGATGGTCACTCTTGTATATCACTTAGGCATGAGTTCTGTTGAATCCCAGCACAATTTACCAGACTTTGTCAGTGGCTTTTGGAGTAGCAAAGACTCAATTTTTAATAAAGTGTTATTTTGTTTAGCTGGTCATTGTCATCATCACTTATCTCTTTCCAGAAAATTGTGAGAGGTATTTTTCTAGAGAAGGATTTTGGTATTCCAGAGTCCTGTGGCTAAAACATCATGCTAATCTCAAGTTACTCTCAATATTAGAGTATGTGGTTACATATGAAATACAAATATGCTGATAGTTTCAAATTGAACATTGTATCTTATTTGACCTAAGTCAAAACCCACTATAAACCATCAAAGCAATATCTTGAATAAGTCTCATAGATTCCAGTCATCTGGATTCTCAATCTATTGCCAGTATGGTCTTAGATAGGTAAAAGATGTTCCCTATGCAGATCACATTACACAAAAAGCTAATAATATAGCAATCCCTTGTTGCCCAAATGAAGGATTAAAATAAGGAACTAATATAAACATATATTTATTGTCACACAGAGCTATAAAATGCAATGAATAGCTGAATATTGGTCTGTATTATTCGGAGTAATTATAGTCTCTCTCTTTTTGGCTTTCTAAAATAAAAATAAAGACACAGCAGTTGATCACTGAGTAAAAGACCTAAGATGCCTTTCAAATGAATTTGTACTAAGTATCCACAGAGTATATTGTCCACCATATTTTAGAAGTAAAACTCATTCTGATGAATTGTTTTTAAATGTTTATTTACTTCTTTTTGCAAGCAGACACCCGTTCAATGATTACATATATTTTCTCTGCTTTTAAAATCATTATCCATCCATAACACATTTTAAGAAGTCTTGATGTCATTTTTTCTCAGTAAATTACCATGCGTAAACACAGAAAATAACTCACAGGTGAAAGAACATAAATTTGTACAGAGAAAATTTATTTTATTATGCGTTATTGTTCTAGTACTCAAAACTTTGACGGATAGTATCTGCTCATCTCTGCCCATGCTTTTCCCCATACTTAACTCTCCCAAGCTCTTCCAACTACACAAAAGGCATTACATAATCTAGCTCTGATTTAAAAGCTATAACAGCAGGCGAACCATTAGATATGAATCAGAAACTTCATTTTTTACAGATATCTATATTTTGATAGATAAATATTTTTTCCACGGGAACTAACATTTATTTAGCAGCTACAATATTCAAGACGCTGGGGTAACCTTTTTCGATCCTGTGCTATTCTATATGTAGCTTCTCTTCCCACTTAAAAAAAATTCTAACAATAAATAAAGCTTTAGGGTGTGTGGATCCTCATGTTGTCCCTCTGGTATATAAAGTTGTCTCCTATAAATCATTTTACATTTTGACCCTAAAATCCATCTACGAGCAGATATTCTTCCTCCTTGAATTTTGGCTGGGGCACAACAGAAAGGAGAGAGTAAGAGATAGGTTTGGCAGAAGTGTTACAGTACGTAGCTACCCAGGTATGAGTGGGGCAGGAGACGCCTCCCCCTACTCCACCAGGAATGTCAGGCAACCATCAGGTGATGGTGAGGTGTCAGGTGATTGTCACACTACCTCTCTAAAATAATAATTGGTTGTAGCCAGAGCCAGGGCAAGGCAGTTTCCCAATAGACAAAAATGCCTGTAACTGGTGATGGGCAGCTTCCCAATAAGATTTCAGGAATTGTGTGAGTGGGCTTGAGCATGTGTATTAAGAGGCAAAATGGTGGGGTTTAACTGGTATATGACCTTCTGGGGACATTTCACTGGAAGAGGGAAGAACACCTCAGACGAGTATGTGTATAACTCCAGTAAACACACTGCTCATGCTCACCTCTCAAGTACTAGCAGGCCACCATGCATGCAGGCAGATTACCCTAAGAGAAGAATCAAAGGAAATGGGATGCAAGACACTAGAAGTATGCCGGCATATAAAACTCCAAGTCAAAAGGTTAAATTCCACACTTGACTTCCAAAATGCCTACTTGGAGTACTTTACTTTCTTTTCATTCTTGCTCTAAAGCTTTTTAATAAACTTCCACGCCTGCTGTAAAACTGGCCTCCATCTCTTCTTCTGCCTCATGCCCCTCAGTTCAATTCTTTCTTCTGAGGAGGCAAGAATTGAGGTTGCTGCAGACCCGTATGGATTTGTCACAGGTAACAGAAGCACAACTGGGCATATGCTAGGTGTGATGGTTAATTTTATGTATCAACTTGGTAGGGTAACTGTACCCAGAAATTTGATCAAACATTATTCTGAAAGTTTCTGTGAGGATATTTTTTGGATGAGGGTTACATTTAAATCGGTGAACTTTGAGTAAAACAGATTGCTCTATGTAATGTAGGTAAGCCTCATCCAATCAGTTAAAGACCTGAATGGAATAAGACTCCCCCGGCACCCTCTTCCTCCTACATGAATAAATCTTTCTAGAAGTTGGCCTTTGGACTGGAACTGCAACATTGGCTCTGCCCTGGGTCTCCAGCCTATAAACTGACCCTGTAGATTTTGAATTTGCAAGCCTCCATGATCACTTGAGTCAATTCCTTAAAAATTTTTCTCTCTCTGTCTCTCTCTCTCTCTCTCTCCTCTCTCTTTCCTATTGTTTCTGTTTCTCTACATCAGGTAGCCAGCCTAAGACACGCATCTTTTGTTTGCTTCCAGTTTTCTCTAAAAGAGTAGTCATCATTAATGTTTTACCCTCATTTCTGTGTACTTGGAGATGCCTCTTTCAACGTAGCCCGATATTTTCCTCTTATGTGGTTCACTTGTACTCCACGTCTGAGTCCAACAGCTTCTGACTTTTGATACTAGAAAGAAAGATTTTGGAATTTAGAAAAGCCTTTTCTCTCTCAAGAGCCTTGCCCTTGCCATTGAAAGTCTAGCTTTCAAATTCTTTTTGCTAAACACTTTTTAAAGTCTATTTTGAAAATCAAAGGTGAACAATGACTTTTTTGCCCTTGGCTTTCTCTCTATCACACCCTAAGGCAATAGATGCTTCAGCATCAATACTTAGAGAGCAAAGGCAAAAAAACTGAATCCATCAGCTAATATTTGTAAATATTTTTACTCTGCAAGAGAGTGGCATAAAATGCGACTCAGCCCTGGCTTCATATTAGAATCATCTGAGGAGCTTTTAAAAGTACAATGCCCTATACCCACACCCCAGAGATTCTGATTTAATTCGTCTAGAATGAGGCTCAAGTGTCACTATTTTTTTTTTTTGCTAGACCCTTCAGGTGATTTTTTTTTTTTTTTTTGAAATGGAGTCTCACTCTGTTGCCCAAGCTGGAGTGCAGTGGCACAATCTCGGCTGACTGCAACCTCCACCTCCTGGGTTCAAGTGATTCTTCTGCCTCGGCCTCCCAAGTAGCTGGGACTACAGGCATGTCCCATCATGCCTGGCTAATTTTTGTATTTTTAGTAGAGATGGGGGTTTCACCATATTGGCCAGGTTGGTCTCGAACTCCTGACCTCATGATCTGCCCGCCTCAGCCTCCCAAAGTGCTGGGATTACAGATGCAAGCCACTGGGCCTGGCCTCTTCAGGTGATTCTGATGCACAACCCAGTGGGGGAACCACTGGTGTAGAGGAAAAGCCACTAGGCGGGGCTCTAGAGCCTGGTTTTGCCATGAAGTAGCAGGGAGAGCCCAAGGGATTGATTTCACCTATCTGTATTCAGTTTTCTCATATAGAAAATGTAAAGTTCAATTTCAATGTCTTCCAATAAACTTTGTAACACTAACATTCTGTAAATCAACCATTGTGACAACTAAAAGAGTGACTTTGTTCAGTGACTGATTCGAATGTCAAAAAAAGAATTAGTCTAGACATACAAATAAGATTTCTACTTTGCTCTAAAGAAATATATGGTGACTAAAAGAACTCAGTGCTCCTTTTAATGTGATGGTTGTTCCCTGTTTCACACTGTTGGACTGTTTAGGCACCAATTTAGAACCACCACCATATGTAGTTCCACATCCTTAGCTGCTTGGCTATGCTCAATGAGATGAGCCCCAAGTATTTTCTATGTTGAAAATATGTGTCTCTAAAAAGAGTAGAAAAATTGGCCAGCTCTCACTGGTAGAGCATTTTGAAAAACGTGGACTGTGTACAGGGAATTTCGAGTAGCGCATTAGATAACACTGAATTAAGTGGGTAGAACTTTCTCCTTTTTAATTGATTTCTTTTGGTGAGTCAAGAATAGTCTTTAGTGTTGAGATATCTTCATTACATTGTTAAAACTAATATATTTTAAGAGAGAGTAAAATTTCAGACTAATAGGCTCAAGCAGGCAATGGTATTTAGCTAGTATTTAAAAACAATGTTTTACTTTCATTCTATTTAAGATATGGTACATATCTAAAAAGATTTATATGAAGACAAGATCTTTCACCAGCAAAAACATTATGACTCACTGAGGCTCAGATAATTGTTAGCATTTTTTAGCAATAAAGTATTTTTAAATTAAAGTATGCATTTTTTAGACATAATGCTACTGCATACTTAATAGACTACAGTATGGTGTAAACATAACTTACATGCACTGGGAAACAAAAAATTCATGTGATTCGTTTTACAGCGATATTCACTTTATTGTAGTGTTCTGGAACCCAGCCTGCAATATCTCTGAGGTATGTCTGTAAAACCATAGAAAAAGATGTGATATGCAGGCAATGACCAAAAAAGAGCTGGAATGACTATACTGAGTATATGAAAAATAGACAAATTTAATGACAAATTGTTACTAGAAATAAATAATGATATTTTATAATGATAAGCGGCCAATCCATCAGGACGGGTATTAATATGAAAAAGAGGTTTTTTTTTTTTGAGGAGTTACATGTTCTGATGCTGCTTATCTAGTTATATGTAACACTTGTTTTTAAAGCAATTCAGTTATTCTTACCCAAATTATTTATAGTGAATGGGAGGACTTAAGTAAAGACACTTGTTTTAAAAGCAATTTAGTTATTCTTACCCAAATTATTTATAGTGAATGAGAGGGCTTAAGAAAGGTTGTGGTACTTTGGTATAAGCAGTTTATTGGCATATTCACCAGTGCCTAGGCACAATCTCTGATTTACACACAGTCCAGGAGACTCAAAGAAGACAATCTGAATCTAGTGTGTATGGAGTGACAAGAAACAATAGACTAGCGAGAGTCCCAGTGGGTACCCTGAGAGAACAATCCACATACTTGAGAAAAAAAGCCTGGTACAATAGATCAGGTTCAGCAATATAGTCTGAATATAAAACTTCAGTAGGTGGAAGTGGGGGTAAAACCGCTGGTGTGTGAGGGGCATGTCTGGACAGCTGGAGAGGATTGTGTAGTAAGTCTGTGAAAACTTGCTCAGGAGAGACCTAAACTCCTCCAGTAGGAGACTCTGTCCCTCTTTCCTGAAAGAAGAATGTATATAGTATTTTCTAACCAGCTGGCGAGAAGAAAGTAAATTAGACCCAGAGACAGGTCAGGGAGACGGGAAGAGAGCAGATTCCTCAGGCGGATCAGGGCCATGTTGAAAGGTGTGAGTGAAGCCTGAGCCTGGGCAGCCTGAAGCTGTGTACATAAGCAACCAGCTCACTGCAAGAGCAGACTCCTGAGCAGAGAAAAGGCAGATGCACTGGAAAGCATTCAAATTAAATGTGAAATGAGTCTCCTTGGAGAACATGACAAAGAGATTCAAGAAAATTTTAGAAATGTCAGGAAAGGTCTAGAAAATCATAAGTAAGTTCAAATAAGGCCATTTCCTATTGAGAGCTACTAATTAATCCAGCAGGCTTAGGAATAAACTGCAAGATAAACATGTGAGTATAATGTAGAGGACCTATTAATGTGCAGTTAGGTATTTGAATACACTGTGTAAAAATTTCTTCTTGTATTATTGCATGTAATCATCAAAATGTGTCCATGAAGTGATATTATTTCCCTTATATGGTTCAGGAAACAGACTCAGAGAGGTTAGAGTGACTTCCCTGATATCATCCAGCTAGTAAGTGTTGGAGCTAGCTCAATCTCAGGTCTTACAACTACAAAACCAGAGATCTAGCTACACACTTCTAGTTTTCACAACTTTCAGTATGACTCTACCGTGACCCTATTAAAGTCATTCTCCAGAAGCCCCAACTACATTTTGATCAGTCAGGGTGGATACAATAGACCCAGTAGGTAGCTGGTCACATGCTGCTGGTAAGGCAAGAGTGTTGCCCAAAATAGTCTCTTTCACTGTACCTGAGGCCTTAGACAAAGTCATCAATGTCATCCCAGATATATAAAGCCCTGACACTGCCATTTCCTACTTGAATCATCTCAATAGTAAAAGTCTTTTAAGCCTACAAAAGTGCAAATACCTGGAGAGATGCATTACATACTAGGGCTACTAGGGGGAGGCAGGAGAGAAAGAGACAACTGTGTGTGGTGCTGACTCAAGATAAAATGTGGAGATAGACCTTGCCATTCTCTAACCTACAGAACTCAACAAAAATTTACAACTATTACTTGTTTCAGATTCACTAAATATCAGTATTTCTGACATGTCTGGTACATATTATTAAGCTAGGATCTGACCCCATATATCTGAACTGATCAAGAGAGCAGGCGACTATTTCTTCTTTGTTCCAAAAAGTAAGGACTAGAGAGAACCACATTTATTGACAGTATAATCCTTCAAAGGTTTGTACAGGTTTGCTAAATGAGTAAATGAATCAGTTTTTTTTTTTCCTGCAGGTCTCAGATTGGAGAACAAGAAAAGTAAAAAGGAGTAATTTGGGACAATAATTTGTACATAACTGTAGTTGTTGATGAGCCAGAGCATCTTTCTCCACAAAAATGCCATTTTAAAAGCTTTTGTGGCATTATACCAAGATATCTCAAAAGATTAAATGCCTCACTTCCAGTGACAGAGTCAAATGGTGCCCTTGAATGTAAAGTTTGCTGTTCCAAGAAGAGGACAAAAGAGACACATATTGTAGATTTTTAAATTAGAGTGATCTACACCAGTAACATAAACATCACCATCATCATTATCATCACCATCATGATCATCAGGGATTCTAGGCACATATGGCAGAATGTGTTTACAGGCTGGACGTGGTGGCTCATGCCCATAATCCCAGCACTTTGGGAGGCCGAGGCAGATGGATCACCTGAGGTCAGGAGTTTGAGACCAGCTTGGCCAACATGGTGAAACCCCATCTCTACTAAAAATACAAAAAAATTAGCCAGGCATGGTGGCGGGCACCTGTAATCTCAGCCACTTGGGAGGCCGAGGCAGGAGAATTGCTTGAACCTGGGAGGCAGAGGTTGCAGTGAGACGATATTGCGCCACTGCACTCCAGCCTGGGTAACAGAGTGAGACTCCATCTCAAAAAAAAAAAAAAAAAAAAGAAAAGGAAAAGAAAATTGGATTTATCAAAAAAGAAGAATGCCAAAAAAGGAATGCTTTTAGTAGAGCAAAATAATTAATACTCATTACATATGCTTTATTCATGCTATCTTTAATCTTTTGAGAAATTAAACAGGGGAGCCAAGTAAGGAAGAACAAAAGAATGGTAGTAATTGCCTATGTAATAGATGCATATCCATATTCTAAAGCAAACTCACCCCATGCCTCACTTTCTCTCTCCAAAAATATCCTATGGGAATTTCATCTAGCTGATGTGCTTCATCAAGATCACCTGCTTCATACATAACTGCTCAATTGTGAGACATGCAATAACAGTCAATACAAACTGTTCTTCCAAGCTTCTGACTTTCATTTTATCCCTTCTTCTTATCTTCCATTGGGAAATGTGTTACATTCTTTTCTTGCATGAAAAAAATTAAAGATCATTAAAAACGCCACCGATATAAGAAAAATAAACAAGTCAAGCATCTTGTGGAAGATCTTTAAAAAGTTCATAACAAACTGCTCCAATATTGTAGAGGCTGGGCCTGGTGGCTCACAACAGCACTTTGGGAGGCTGAGACAGGAGGACTGCTTGAGCCCAGGTGTTCGAGACCAGCCTGGGCAGCATGAAGAAACCCTGTCTCTACAAAAAATACAAAAAAAAAAAAAAAATTAGCCAGGCATGGTTGCATGCACCTGTAGTCCCAGCTACTTGTGGGGCTGAAGCAGGAGGATGGCTTCTGCCTGGGAGCTTGAGGTTGCAATAAGCCATGATCACACCACTGCACTCCAGCCTGGGTGACAAAGAGAGGCCTTGTCTCAGAAAAAAAAGAAAAAAAAGCATATTGTAGAAATATGAAGAGTTTGTTCTTGATAGAGTTTTTCCTCTTGATAACCGTCTATGTCAGCATACCTAGTTGTTGTTTACAACCAGTTTCTTTATTATATAAAAGGGAAATATTCCTAAATTTATAGTATTTGCCTTTATATAATTCATAATTTTTACTACTTATCTTGCTATTCAGTTTAGCTTACTTTTTATCCCCTTATTTTCCTAAAGGCAAGACTTTATCAATGTTGGAAACAGTGAGTTAATCTACATGTTGGGACAAGCTCCTTGATCTAGGTAGCTACTCCAGATTATTTTCCTGCCATTAAAACTATACTGTCAGAATTTTTTCCCATACTAAACTTAAGCTCTGGACCACATTTGTTGACAGAATAATCACCATCATATTTAAATCACATACTATGAAAGAACTGTCATGTTAGCAATATCTGTGCATTTATCACATTGTGATGAAAAATACTTTGCTAGCTTTCTTTATTCTGACTTGGTTTTCCGTATCATTCACCAGTTCCAGAATACATCAAGCTGTGATATCATTGTAAGGTACTTAAGCTACCTTCTCTGCTGCAAAATATACCAAAGTTTCCAAGTAAAAATCTTTTATACATTCTTTTGTTTAAGATTCAGCATCTGTATGTATTATTACATTACAGGTAACCTGTAAAGCACTAATGTTTATATGTGAAATAGTGAACATCTACTTCTGCTGGCCTTTTATTTCAATATTTTTTCTTTGGAAGAATTATTTTAGATTTGACCGTTTCTTTATGTTATGAATGCAAGTTCTGCTTAAGTGTTCATGTTATTACTTCATTAGCCAGCGCATCTCCTAAAGTATCACACTGTGGTATTAACACATTTCTCTATCAGCGGCAACCACAAAACTAAACTCTCTACCTGAGGCATCAGATTTCCAGCTAAAACTAGTATGGATTCCTTTGATCTTCCATTCTTGGAATCACACATTTAATTGCCACATTCAGAAAGAAGTTCTTTCTCCTGATTAAAAAAAAAATCAAATGAACTACACTTAGAAAAAGGCCATATGCAAATTGGAATTAAATACAAATAATACGAATTTTACTTCTGAAACATAGCTAACAATGTTACATTGCAAAACTTTAAATTTTGAATTAAAAAGTAAAACAACACATTACAAATATTTAATGCTTATCTATTCTCAGATTTTAAAATAATTGTGGGTTCTAATTAACAGAATAACTTTAAAATATCACACATGACTAGTACACAGGTGAACCACACACAAATCCCCCTCATAAATGCAAGTTCAACAGTATCCATACTGATCTATGTCCTATCAAACATGATGAGTTCAGTGATCATGAGCTTGGATACCGTGGTATGTCAATTGTGATAATGGTTTCTAAATGTTTACTCCCATTTTCTATACTTTTTTGGCATTATTTTGCTGTAAGCTGGTAATCAACAGTTTGCACACTGGCATCAAATGCAAAGCCCACTTTGACACTTAATCATAGTATCATTTCAAATGTACCACATCGAATGTATGAGTTGGGGCTCTCCAGAGAAATGGAACCAAGAGGATCTATCTATCTATCTATTGAGATTGAGAGAAAAATTGCATTAAGAAATTGGCTCTCTCAAATAATTATTGTAGGGGACAGAAAGTCTGAAATGTGCAGGGCAAGTCAGGAGGCTGGAGATTCAAGTAAGGGTTGATGTTGCAGTCTTGAGTCCAAAGTTCTGGAAACTCAGGCAGAATTTTTATGTCGTAGCCTGGAGGCAGGATTCCTTCCTCTCTGAGAAACCTCAGTCTTTGCTCTTAAGTCCTTCAAATGATTGGATGAGGCCCTCCCACATTATGGAGAGTCATCTGCTCTACTCGCTGTAGATGCTAATTTTGTCTAAAAAAATACCTTTATAGAAACAACTAGACTAGTGTTTACTAAACAACTGGTCACCATAGTCTAGCCAAGTTGACATATAAAATTATCCATCACACTGAGTCAAAGAACCGTCTTGAAACAAGTATGTGGGAGCTCTATTTCTAATAGTCAAGCCAGGAAGCTCCAGAGTAAGAGTCTGTGATGGAATCTATGTTCTGCTACTTCAACTTCATTCAAGCTCAGTTCAACGACTGGAACAAAACTAAAACAAAGACTGAGAATTCATAATGAATTGGGAAACAGCTGAATATACAGATATTAAAACAAAAAAGTCCACAAAGAGTATCAACTTTTTCCATTGTATTTCATATTTTAGAGTATTCTAAAAAACACACTTGTGGATATAATGTAAAAAATATTTCCCATTTGCACATGATCTAGCAAATTATTAACCTTAAAAAACTTTACCAATATTTTTCCCATTAAAATACATTTACTTTCATGCTACAAATATCTGTTTTTCTGCTACAATGTAACTTTTGTCTGCATTATTATCTTTCATTCTATGTTTTCCAAAAAAACTTTGTATAAATTAGATTTGTTAAGCCATTATTATTATTTAAAACCTAATATTGGCTGGGCACAGAGGCTAATACCTGTATCCACAGAATATTGGTAGGCTTAGGCAGAAGGACTGCTTGAAGCCAGTTGTTCGAGACCAGCCTGGGCAACAAAGTGAGACTCAGTCTCTATAAAAGATAATTTAAAAAAATTAGCTAGCTGTGACAGCATGTGCCTGTAGTCCTCTATACATGGGAGACTGAGGCAGGAGGATTGCTTGAGCTGAAGTTTGAGGCTGCAGGGAGTCATCAACAGGCCATTGTAGTCAGGTTTAGGTGACACAGGGAGACCCTGTCTCTTAAAACCAACCAACCAACCAACCAACAACAATTAAAAAACCCTAATGTTGTTTTTTATTTCAAGAAGTGTACCCTGGTAGGCTTTTCATTTATCCCTTAGCAAAGCCCCTAAACTCACCTCACAACTATCCCGTAGCAAAATTCACTAAGAAAATTATTTCTTAGGTTTTGAATATGTTTTGAAACATATATTTTAAAAATATTTTCTTTAAAATGTTTTTTCAAAGAGAAAATCTGACTGTTTCAGCGTCTTTTTCCCATCCTGCATGAGAGAGACCAACATTACCTTTTTTAAAGGCTTTCAAGCAGAGATTACGAAGGATTCTTTCAGAGAAGAGAAGTTGGTAGCAGCCCTTGGGAGAAAGAGAGTCCCTGGATTCCAAATGAGAAGGTAATTGCAGGTTTTGTGAGAATTCGGAATTTATATCCCGTTCGCTTGCTAAAATCATGGAGGGTAGCAAGATTGCAGGAAGCACAGTGCCATGATGAACCTAGGAAGCCTAGACTCAAGACGACAAGGCTCTGAGCCTTGGCAAGGACACAGCTTGTCAAACCTTGGCAGAGATGCAGAAGAGCAGATTGCCTCCAAGGCAACATGCAAGTGTATCAGTGATCATGCCAGGGGAAAGAAACCAGAGGGACCTTGCCAAATTTTGTGGACCTCATTAGCTTCCCAGGACCTGTACGCAAACCTGACAAAGGACAAAGCAGCCAGTGATTAATAATATTGAGTTATCTCCCGTTTTGTTGACCAAATAGGGACTCCATGCAGAAATATGACTTAGAGAAATAAAGAGCTATAGAATTTGCAAGTAACACTCACCACACACTCAAATTTCCAAAGAGTAACAGCTAGTAAAAACGTTTCACATTCAGGTGATTTATAAAAGGTTTTTGATGCTATTGGCTTTGTGACAAGCAATTTCAACACACCCAGCTTCTAGACAAATCTTCGTAGTATTCATTCAATTATTTGCTCATTCATCAAAAGTATACTGAATTCCTTCTATGTACTAGGAATTGTTCTACATGCTGTTGATACAGCAGGGAACAAAATAGACAACAGCCGCTGCCTCCATGAAATTTCTATTTTAGTGGAGACAGAAAGAGACAATAAACTAAGGAAGTGTAGCTCATAGCATATTAGAGAATAAGTCTTAAATAAAAAAATAAAGCACTAAAGTGGAATCTGGGTTGTTGTCTACACGTTTCAATTTCAAGTGGGGTGGTCAGGGAGGAGTCCATTAGAAGAAGACTTTTGAGCAAAGCCTTGAAGGAGGTAAGGAAGCAAGCAATATGAATATCTGGAGGGAAACTGACCCAGGCACAGAGAACAGCAAGTATAATAGTCCTTGTTTGGGGAGATTTCCGCAATGTTGGAGGAAATGCAAAGCGGTTACTGTTGGGAGCAGAGTGAATAAGGAAAGAATAACTGAGGATGAAACCCCACAGGCAATGGAGGGCCAGATTATCCAGGATCTTTTAAGCCATTGTAATGATTCTGGCTTTCACTCTGAGTAAGGTAGAAGTGATTGGAGGGTTTTGCGCAGAAGAGTGACAGGATTTGACTTATGTTTTAAAAGGTCATTGTGGCTGCTGGGTTGTGAAGATACTGCAAAAAGTATTTTTCCCGCACAATGTCCAGCTGCAAGGAAGTAAAGTAATTACACAATAAAAGGAAGTTTCATGACTTAATTCCTTTTCTTCCCTGTTATTAAGTAAATAGTTAATGTTTATTCAATAAATATTTACTACAATTATGGATCCATTTCTTTCTTTTTCCTTTCTGATCCAGCAACACTGCCATTATTACCACTACCACCCAGATACAAATGTCATAATCTGGAAAATGGACCAGAGTGGCCAATGGAAGACTTCCTAAACATCAACCATATTTACACTCTTTAATTGGTTTTATAGGGACTTGGCTCTAAAATAACTGCTTCTGCAAGATAATGATGGTATCAGAAGTGTCCTGGAAAAAAAACCCATGCTCTAGGTTGTGGTGCTATCAGTGTTTACTGATGTGTCAGTAATACTGCTCACTGATTCCTTTTCTCTTTTATCAGTAAGTTATTAACTACAATGAGCAAGCTGTTCAAATAAATATGGTATTTTTTCTTCCTCTTTTTTCTCTTTTTATAACTAGAGTCACGAATATAGATATTTACTCATATTAATTTAATTTCTCAAGATTGTGTGTGGGAGGCAGCTAAAGCAGCACTAGAGGGAAATTTGTAGTGTTCAATGCTTGTATTAAAAGAAAAACAATATCTAAAATCAATAATCTAAGTTTCTTCTTCAGGAAGGTAGAAAAATAAAAGCAAGTTAAACATAAGAAAGGCTGAAGAGAACAAATGTATTTAATATATGTGTGTATATAATATACATGGATTATATATAAGGTATTTTATATAATGGTGTATATGTATTATATATGTATGTGTGTATAATATACATGGAATATGTGTGTGGGGGGCTGTGGGGATGTATACACACACACACATATATATATATATATATCCTATCAGTCTGTTCCTCTGGGGAACCCAGACTAAAACTCATGGATTACATATAGATTATGCTAATAAGTATGTAATATATAGTTATAGAATACATAATATGTCATTTATATATCATGCAAATATATATGTTTGTGTTACATATATATGTAGCATAAATTATATATATAAATATGTATATTTATATATAATATATAATATATTATATATATTTATATATAATATCTAATATATTATATATAAATATATATATTATATATATTATATTTTATATATTTATATATAAATATAAATTTATATATATTTATATATATTATATATATATTTATATATATATTTATATATATTATATTTATATATAAATATATTATATATATATATATATAAATATATTTTAAAAATAAGGAATTGTCTCACAGGTTATGAAGCCTGAGAGGTCTCATGATCTGCAGTCAGCAAGCTGGAGACCCAGGAGAGCCAATATTATAGTTCTAGTCTGAATTCAAAGGCAGGAGAAGACTGATGTTTCAGCTCCAAGACAGTCAGGCAGAGTGAATTCTCCCTTACTCAGCATTTTTGTTATACTCAGGCCTCTAACACATTGGATGAAGCCTACACACAATGGGCAAGGCAATCTGCTCTACTTGGTCCACCAATTCAAATGTTAGTCTTTTCAGAAATACCCTCACAGACATACTCAGAACAATGTTCACCCAAATATCTGGGCACCTCCATGGCTCAGCCAAGTTGAAACACAAAATTAACCATTAAACCATGTTTTATTGAACAATCTGCCCAGAATAGTAAATGAAATCATAGTCATTCAACAAATTTGATAAGTATTTAGTAGATCTTATCATGGATGTGTTCCCATTGTAGTCTCTGGGTTTAGAGTAGTGATTAAAATGGATAAAACCCCTGCCTTCATGGAGGTGACATTAAGAAAGGTAGTTCATATTTCATAGGCAATGACCTTCCTTCAAATGGTCTGTTGAAGAATCTCTAGGCCTTTGCAAAGTTGTCTCATTAGACAGCATCCAAGCATTCTAGCAATTTAGTCAATTCGTCAACAATTACTTGCTGAATGAATGAATGTTAACCATGTTCTTCTTTTCTCATTTCTGAGGCCTGTGTTGTATCTGTGTAGTCACATGAATGTGTCTTACATCTGTGAACATCCAAGGCTCAATGCTGACCCAGCTCTTGATGGTCACTGCTGCCATCCTCTAAGATCCTTGAAAGGCCAAAGGGATCTTGGTTCCCTGGAGTCCTCAGATTAGGAAAGACATTCTATATTTCATGCAGAAGTGGAGATGGGTAGATGGGGTTTGAGTGCACACTCCCCAACTCTCACTCTTTGATGTTATGCTATGAAACACAGGTAAATAGAAAGGGCTGATTCTTTCCAAATAATTTAAAGAGCTGTTATTATAGGTTTATGACAAAAATTATTTATAATACCTGAATTAATCTTCTCCAGAGAAACAGAACTAATAGGATAGATAGATAGATAGATAGATAGATAGATAGATAGATAGATAGATAGATAGATAGAGAGGGGATTTATTATGAGAATTGGCTCATGCAACCGTGGAAGCTGAGAATTCTCACAATATGCTATCTGCAAGTTGGAGAGCCAAGGAAGCCAGTGGCATAGCTAAATCTGAGTCCGAAGGTCTAAGAGCCTAGGGGTATGCTGGTATAACTCTTAGTTCCAGGCTGAAGGCTAGAGAATCTGGAGTTCTGGTGTCCAAGGGCAGAAGAAGAAGAGAACTGCAGCTCTAGAAAGGAGAGAGAAAGTATTTGCCTTTTTTCTTTTCTCCTTTTTTGTTCTATCTGTGTCTTCAACTGAATGGATGGTGCCCACCCACACTGGGTAAGCGTGGCTCTTCCTTACTCAGCCCACTGATTCAAATGCCAAACTCTTCTAGAAACACTCTCACAGAAATATCCAGAAATAATACTTTACCAGATATCTGAGTATTGCTTAACTCTGTCAAGTTGACACCTAAAACTATCACAATTCCTAAAATGTATACGAACGCCAGAAAATTGGAAGAAGGTTGGGAGGCTGAGAATCTAAGTAACATAAACCATGCTATCCTCAAAATTACCTGTCAGGTGACATAGTCTTTGCCATTGAACCAGCCCCATATATCTGATTCCTCTTCCCTTTAGGATGATTTACGTCCTAGGAGGTGCTTCATTCCTAATATAAATAGATTTCTGGTGAACCAGTCTCACGTGTCCTCCAGACATGACTGGTCATGTTTTAGCTCCAGCAGGGCACTCAGGTGCAGACCACACTGGCACCCACACTACACACATAACCCGCTTGTATCTGCACTACCACCTCCTTGAACAAATCAATAATAAACTTGTTTTCTCTCCCTGAAGTTTTAAGACAAATGTGTTCAGTGTCTTGACATATGAGTAGAAAATTCAATCTTGTGAGTCATAAAGGATCTGAAAAGTTGGTTTCTTTAGAGGCCTTTAATTCTAAGAAGTTCATGATTTGAAAAATGTCCTCTGAAAATCTCTGCATCGAGCTTCCTATGTGATTAAAATGTAAAACTTATATTTCTAGACTTTGCTTCATCTTCTTTTAACGAGCCATACCCCGGCAGTATTTAAAGGCCACAACAAAGAGAAAAGTTTCAAACTTGATATCTCCCTTTCTGCCCATCATACAAAATCTGACTTGCAAAGCTCATAGCACAGAATCTCCTAATGCATGATGCAAAAGAAGTGTGACATATCAGTCTCCTTTCTGGCTTGAGCAAACTGCTGAAATTGTCCCTGCTGCCTTTTGGTTGTAGATGCTCCACTTGTGATAAGTTAACTTAGCACTTCCAGGTTTGTAACAAATTTCTCAAATTCTTTTCTTGCTAATAAGTTAACCTCTCCTAGTTATTTTGTGCTTACATGTTCAGTTTTATTGTGTTTTGTCTTTGTACTGAATTATCAACAATTGTCATTAATGAGAGCTAGGCATGGTTCTAAGACAATTTCTCTGATCTGCATAACAGCATAACAACTTGCAAGGCAGATGTTATTCTCTTGATTGAAAGAAATGTAGCTAAATAATAACTTTACTCGCTTTCCCAAGGTCACCCAACCAGAGGCTATAAATTGAGGTTTAAAAAAGTTTTTGCTAAATATCTCATAGTCCCCGTATGTCCATAATACTTAATGCAATAATGGATGATGCCATTACAGCACAACTGCAGTCAGAAAGAAAGAGCGAAATGTTGCGGTTTAGTTAATGCTTTGGAAAAAATGTTTTTAAAACTGGCCTCCACCCAGTTTCCTGTGTTCAACTTGCTGATACTGTTACTTCAGTTGGTTCATCATCTTAGTGATCCTCTTAAATACATTTTGTACAGAGTGCATAGCCCTTTAATCCATTTTTATTCTTTAAGCAGTCTCATTTTGGCATTTAAAGAGTCAGTATCAATTATTCCTAAAATTCTGCCTCTTTATCTAATATAATGTTCCTCTTTCCCTTTTCCCCTTTGTAGGCTGTCTAGTTCTCATGTGACTTGGAAAAGAGACATCATCTGCTTACATCCAGCTTCTTTGCGGTTTCCTCCAGCTTCTTTGTGGTTTCCCCCGCCCTCTCTGCTATTAGGCAGGAGGAAGGTTGGGGGAAGTCATTCACTATGGCTCAGAGACAGCTGGAAGCCCTCGTTTGTTCTTTATCACTGTTTCTTAACACTGTCTGGCCAACTGATTTCCATAAGAGTCTGGTTTCTAAATATTGGCTTTATCATGGGGCACAGGCTTCCTACTTCCCTCCCCTGCTCTAGGTGTTCCAGCCAGTTTGATCTCTTCCTCTGTCCCTGCTGTTCATTCTGCAATCTATTGCAGATGTGGTCTGAAAAAAATGGCTCTCTAGGGTGGGAGAACTAGTGGAATTAATCAACTCCATGATATTTTGGTGTCCAAAGGACCTCATTAAAATGACTATTATAAAATGACAATCAGGAAAACAACAACTAGAACATTTCAAAGACATACATTTCCAAGGAAAGAGACAGGAGAGGAAACAACAATAGAAAAAGATGGCAACAAATTTTCCAAGAAACAAGGTAACTCAATCTGTAAAACCCCAGACATGCAGGAATTGGAGTCATCTGCCTGATGGGAAGTGTTCAGAGTGGGGCTAAAAACAGGTGGATCTGTGGAAAGCATTTAGATGTGGCACTTAGACCTTCACACCAAATGTATATACTGCATAACCAGACGTATACTCCCTTCTTTTCCTTGGCAGAAAATTCAAGGTTCAGCCTTGTAGAGATAAGACAACAGATCCAAGGACATCGTGTACAACCAAGGCAACATATGAGGCATGAAAACATTATATTAAGAAGAGTGGTACTAAGAGAAAGACATAGATACACACCATATTAGTCTGCTCAGGCTGCCATAAAAAAACGCCACAGAATAGGTGGCTTAAATAACAGAAATTAATTTTCTTACAGTTTTGGAGGCTAGAAGTCCAAGATCAAAGTTCAGAATGGTTGGTTTCTGGTGAGCATATAAATATAGAGGAGACACAAACATTCAGTCCATGACACCCTCTAACCCGTTTCATTTGCATGGCTCTCAAAATACCAGAAATAAGCCTCATCTCCAAGAGCACAGCAATAAAGATTCCCTTCTGGGGAAACTCAGTAGCCTAACAAAAAAGACCTATCAATACTCACTTTTGGAGAGCTTCTGATGCACCTTATAGTAAGCTCACACGTAGATAAGTCCCACCTATACGTGCAGAACTTCTAATCAATATTCTAGTGATTATTTCTTAAATATGAGCAGACGTTAAAGGCTCATCAGGTATTTATGCCTCTGATGCAAAATAAAAAAGCCAAAACAAACAATGAAATTCTAGGAGAAAGAGACAATTCAGGGAATAGAATAAAATATAAAAGGAAAAAATGTATAATTAACTCCCACAGAGATATAAAATAAGTGTTTATAAAATAAGAGCAACAAGCTACCACAAAGAGATATTGAGAAAATAATAAAAGAGCTTTAGAAATGAAAAATATGCACATATAAAAATCTGTATTGGTTTGGGTTCTTCAGAGAAACCAACAGGAGATACACACACACACACACGAAGATATTTACTATGAGAAATTGGCACACACAAATACAAAGGCTGGAAGGCTGAGAATTTTCAGGATCTGCACTTGGCAAGCCGGAGACCTAGGAAAGCCAGTAGTATAGTCCCAGTTCAAATCAAAGGTCTGAGAACCAGGAGAGCTGATGGTGTAAGTTTTAGCTCAAGTCCAAGTTTGAAGGCAGAAGACCAATGTCCCAGCTCAAACCCCGTTAGGCAAAGAGAGCAAATTCTCTCTTACTTAGCATTTTACTCTATTCAGGCCTTCCACACATTGGACAAGACCCACTTACACTGGGGAGGACAATCTGCTTTACTTAGTATATTAATTTGAAAATTAATCTCATCAAGAAATACCCTTATGGATAACCCAGAAATAACGTTTAACTAAATATCTGGCCAACCAATAGCTCAATCAATTTGACATACGTAATTAACCAAATACACAATATATGTGTATGTATGTATAAATATACCAAAAATAAAAATTTTAATACGAATTCTGGAAGATAGAATTAAGGACATTTTTTAGGATCTAGCTTTTTTTAAAAAAAAATAAAACTATGGAGAAATTTGAAAATTAGAGTATGGGTATAAGAAGTCTAATGTTCAAAACAGCAATACTCAGAAATAGAAAATGTAACACAAAATTTCCAGATAGAATGCATCTCCTGAGTTTCCAACATAGTGAAGGAAAAAAGATCCACACGAAGTAGAGACTTAAGAAATTCCAGAACACCGAGCAAAGAAGTAAACATGAAAGCGCTACAGAAAAAAAATCATTATTTTATTAAAAAGGTCAGAAATCAGCCTGGCATTGGTCTTATTAATAACAACACAAGAAGGTAGAGGAAAATGGAAAACACCTCTTCAAAAATTTAAGAGGAAAAATATATTCAACTTAGAATTCTTCGCCCAGCCCAAATTAATCAGAAATGAGGGTTAAACAAAGAAATTTTCTGACTTGAGGTATCAAAAATTGTACTATCCATGTATCTTTTCACAGAAAGCTGTGGGTGAATTTAATGATGATCTCCACCAAAATAAAATAAGAATGTAAATAAAGAAAAAAGATAAATGGCATATTTGTCAAACTGAGATCTTACACTCATGGAGATCTTACAAACTGGGTGAAAAGGTAAGTTTGATAAAGGAATAATAGGGTAGCCTGAGGCTAGCAACTGTGTGAAGCTATTACAATCATTAGTCCTAAAAAACAGGAACAGGAGCAATTACCAAATACGTGAGTTTTCCAGTAAAGTCTACCGGGCAAGAGATGTGGCCTTTAGCATTGGACACAGTCAACCTGTAGTCACTTCTCAGGGCACAAGCTAGAAGAATAAGTGCCTCAAACTTACTCTTTTCGAAGCTGCCAGCTCCAGCCAGCATCCATCATTGACATAACCCAACAAGAAACCATAGAAGTCAGTACCCTGGGCAAAAGGAAGGGTGAGAAAAGTTTGAAAATAGACCCAAGGGGACAAACAGAAAATATCTCATATATACCAAGAAACAGTGAATCACGCAATAAAGACTTCCCAGGAAATGGTGAAGAACAGTCCCAGGCAGGTTCACTTTAAAATGTGTGTGGTCTGAGACGAAAGTACATTTAACCTCCACAGCTGCACCCCAACTCACAAGTCCAATATTCCTCCAATATTGTGTTCCATTTCCTGCATGATTTTTTAAGTGGAGAAGAAGAGAAATCTGAACACTAAAATAAAAGGCCAACTAGTATAATTGGAAGGAATGATAACTAAAAGAATTCACACTGCAAGAAATGAAGCAAAGCAATATCATGTACCTCCCTGAGAACACAAAATCATTTTTATAAAATTTTTACCACAAAATATTACCTGAATCTAATCGTGAGAAAACAACAGAGAAGGCCATATTGAGGAACATCTTACCAAACAACCAGCCTGTACTATTCAAAAATATCAAAGTCATAAAAGACAAAAAAAAAAAAAATTAACCAATACTGAGGAAAATTATCTATTGGCAGTGACTAAAAAGCAATTATAAGTAAACACAGCACATAATCTTGGATTGAATTTGGACCAGAAGAAAAAAAGTTTGATATAAAAGCATTATTGGAGGATTCTAGCGAGGTCAATTAGGTTTTTCTAGAGAAAAAGTAAGAAGTAAAGCTATTTCTATTTGCAGATAATATTCTGTACAGAAATATAGAACAATATATAATAATTTTCTGTATAGAAAATTCTAATGAATATACTAAAAATTATTTGAGCTAATAAATGAATTCAACAAAGTTATGGTATACAAGATCAACATACAAAAATCAGTGATATTTATATGCATTAGTAATTAACAATTTGAAAATTAAATTAAGAAAACAATTTCATTTGCAATAGCATCAAAAAGAAAAAAAATTTCAGGGACAAAAGCAGCAAAAGAAACACCAGACTTGTACACTGAAAACTATAAAACATTGTTGAAAGGAATTAAAGGACATCTAAATAAGTGAAAAGACATATCGTGTTTATGAATCAAAATACTTAAAATTAAGACGGCAAACCTCTCTAAACTATTCTACAGAATCAATTCCAATCAAAATCTTAGCTGACTGCTTTTTTTATTCTTTTTTTTTTTGCAGCAATTAACAAGCTAATGTTAAAATTCTTCTGGAAATACAAGAGACTTAGAATGACCAAAACAATCTTGATAAAGAACAAAGTCGGAAGATACGCACGTCCCCATTTAAAACTTATTATAAAACTATGTATGTAATTAAGAACATGTGGTTCTATCATAATAGCAGACATATAGGCCAATGGTAGAACTTAGGGTCCAGAAATAAATATTGGCATTTATAGGCAATGGGCTAACCACAAGGGGGCCAAGTAATTTAATGGAGGTGGTGGGGAACAGTCTTTTCAACATATAGTGCTAAGACAACTAAATATTCACTTGCCAAAGAATGAAGTTGGACTTTTACCTCACACAATAAATGAAATTAACTCACAATGGACCAAAGACCTAAATTTAAGAGCTAAACTATAATGCACTGTGAAGGTGTAAATTTTTATGACCTTAAGTTAGGTAATGTTTTCTTAGGCATGACACCTAATACACACACACACAAAAACAAAACAAAACAAAACAAAAAACAAAAAAACAAACAGGGGAAAAGTAGGTAAATTGGACTTCCTCAAAATTTTAAAATGTGCTTCAAAGGGCACTATCAATACACAAAGAACTATTGCATAAAACTGAAACCAACAGCACATGAAAAAGATTATACACCATAATCAAGTGAGATTTATCCCAAGGATGCAAGGACGGTTAAACATTTGCAAATCAGTAAATGTGGTATATCACATCGACAAAATGAAGGACAAAAATCACATGATTGTTTCAATAGATACAGAAAAACTATTTGATAAAATTCAACATCCATTCTTTATAGAAACTCTCAATGAATTAGGGATAAAAGAAATATACCCAAACACAATAAAGGCCATATGTGACAAAAGGACAACCAATATTACACTACACAAGAAAAAGCTGAATGTTCTCCCTTTGAGAACTGAAATGAGGGCCAGGTGCAGTGGCTCATCCCTGTAATCTCAACACCTTGGAGGCTGAGGAGAGAGGATGGCTTGAGCCCAGGATTCAAGATTAGCCAGGGCAACATGATGAGACCCTGTCTCTATGAGAAATAAATAAAAAAAACCCGTCTATTGTGGTGCACACGTGTAGTCCCAGCTACTCAAGAGGCTGACAGAGGATCGCATGAGGCTGGGAGGTCGAGGCTCCAGTGAGCTGTGACTCCAAGCTGGGCAACAGAGCAAGACCTTGTCTAAAAAAAAAAAAAAACAAACAAAAACTGGAAAAAGACAACGATATCCACTTTCACTGCTCTTATTCAACACAGAACTGGAAGTCCTAGCCAGAACAATTAGGCAAGAGGAAAAAACAAAGGACATTCAAATTGGAAAGGAGAAAGTCAAATTATGTCTGTTTGAAGATGACATGATCTTATATACAGAAAAACCTAAAAACTCTACAAAAAAAAAAAACCTCTCAGAATTATAAAAGAATTCAGAAAAGTTGCAGGACGCAAATAAACATACAAAAATATGTAGTATTTCAATATACATGAACAAGAAACTAGCTGAAAAAGAAATCAAGAAGGCAATCCCATTGACAATAGCAATAAAAAAAAATACTCAGGAATAAATTTAACCAAGGAGGTGAAAGACGTCTACTAGAAAAACTACAAAACACTAATGAAAGGAATTGAAGAAGATACAAACAAATGGAAAGACATATCCCATGCTCATGAATCAGAAGAATTAATATTGTTAAATGACCATACTACCCAAAGCATTTTACAGATTTAATCCAAGCCCTATAAAAATACCAATGACATTTTTCACAGAAATAGAAACAAATTTCTAAAATTTGTGTGGAACCACAAGATACCTTAAATAGCCAAAAAGTCTTGAAAAAAAGGAACAAAGCTAGAAGCATCACACTAACTAATTTCAAAATGTACTACAAAGCTGTAGTAACCAAAACAGCATAGTACTGGCATAAAAACAGGCACTTAACCAATGAAACAGAATACAGAACCCAGAAATTAATCCATAAATCTACAGCCAACTAATGGTGCCAAGAATTCTTATTGGGAAAAGGCCAACCTTTTCAATAAATGGTGCTGGGAAATCAGAATATCCACATGCAGAAAAAATGAAACT